>NT_113889.1:0-161147 GCF_000001405.40 Homo sapiens
GAATTCATGTAAAGAAAGACCATGGGTGTTTGTACTGGATTTAGTATTCATCATTCGACTGCATGACTCTCCCCTAGCGCCATAATTTTACTAATGAATTTTTCACATACTACTCAGCTGGCCACTGAACCTAACCAGCAACCCACCCTCAACCATTCAGTGGTCTTTTGTTCTCTGTTCCTCCTGAATGTTGATTACTCTCAGAAGATGATAAAAACTTGGATTTCTTTTTTTTTCTTTCTAGAGACAGGGTCTTGTTCTGTCACCCAGGCTGCAGTGCGGTGGCATGATCTTGGTTCACTGCAGCCTGAAACCCTGGACTCAAACAGTCCTCCCACCTCAGCCTCCCAAGTAGCTGGGACTACATACATTTGCCCCTATGCCCAGCTAACTTCTTTATTTTTTATTGTACAGACAGAAACTTGCTGTGTTGCTCAGGATGTTGTCAGACTTCTGGCCTCAAGTGATCATTCTGCCTCAGCTTCCCAAAGTGCTTGGATTATACGTAGGTGGGAGCCACCTGTGTTCAAAGACCATTTTCTTTTTCTTTCTTTCTTTTGGAGATGGACTCTCTCTCTGTCACGCAGGCTGGAATGCAGTGGCATGAACTCGGCTGACTGCAACCTCCACCTCCCTGGTTCAAGCAACTCCCCTGCCTCAGCCTCCCAACTAGCTGGAATTACAGGCACATGTCACCACTCTCAGCTAATATTTTTGTATTTTTAGTAGAGACAGGGTTTCATTATGTTGGCCAGACTGATCTCGAACTCCTGAAATCAGGCAATCCACCCACCTTGGCCTCCCAGTGTGCTGAGATCAGAGGCGTGAGTCACCAAGCCATGCCCAGATATTTTTAAAATAATAACGTTATTGAAATATGATTAACGTATCATGCAATTCATTTATCAAAGTACACAATTCAGGCCAGGTGCAGTGGCTAGTTCCTATAACGCTAAGACTTTGGGCAGCTGAGGCAGGTGGATCGCTTGTGTTCAGGAGTTTGCGACTAGCCTGGGCAACATGGCAAAACAACATCTCTAGCAAAAATACAAAAATTAGCTGGGTGTGGTGGCTCATGCCTGTAGTCCCAACTACTTGGGGACGTGAGACTGGAAGATCACTTGAGTCCAGAAGCCATAGGTTGCAGTGAGACCAGATGGCACCACTGCACTACAGCATGGGTGACAAAAGGAGACCCTGTCTTTAAATAACTAAAGAAAAAAAGAAAGTATACAATTGAGTGGTTTTTAGAATATTCAAGGAGCTGTGCATCCATCACCACAGTCTTTCTTAGAAGTGATTACCCACTTATGAGTTACCCATTTATGAGTGAGAAACCCTCACCTCTTAGCCACTACCTCCTACAGCCCCCATGTTCATAGGCAACCACTGATTTATTTTCTGTCATTGTAGTTTTGCCTAATCTGGACCTTTTATAGAAATAGAATTGTACAGTGTGTGATCTTTTGTAGTTTCCTTTTTTTTTCTCTTAGCAGAATGTTTTCAAATTTCTTTCATGTTATAGTGTGTATCAGGATTTCTTTCCTTTTATAGCTGAGTAATAGTTTATGTTTATCCTTTCATTAGTTGATGGACATTTGTGTTGTTTTTGCGTATTCACCATCATGAGTCAGGCTGCTATGAACACTCGTATGTAAGTTTTAGTGGGAACATATATTTTTATTTCTCTTGGATTTACACTCAGGAGTGAAATTGTTGCATTATGTGATTATTATACATTTAGTCTTTGAGAAACTGCCACGTTGTTTTTCAAAGTGGTTACACTGGTCAGGCACAGTGGCTCACACCTTTAATCTCAGGTATTTGAGACGCTGAGTCTGGAGGATTTTCTTAGCTTGGGAGTTCAGGACAAGCCTGGGAAACATAGGGAAACAATGTCTTGATTTTTTAAAAAAATCAAATGCCAAGAAAACACCCAAATTGATTACACCATTTTATGTTCCCACCAGTAATGTATGTGAATTCCAATTATTCCAATCGTCACCAACTTTTTTTTTTTTTTTGAGACAAAATCTTGCTCTGTTGCCCAGGCTGGAGTGCAGTGACATGAACATGGCCAGTGCAGCTGTGACCTTCCAGTCACAAGTGATCCTCTCACCTCAGCCTCCTAAATAGCTGGGACTTACAGATGCATGCTATCATGTGCAGCTGATTTTTACAGTTTTTGGTAGAAATGGGGTTCTGTCATGTAGCCCAGGTTTGTGTCAAACCCCTGAGCTCAAGTGATCTGCCTGCTTCAGCTTCCGGAAGTGCTGAGATTACAGTTGTGTGCCACCACACCCGACTGGTGTAACCACTTTGGAAAGCAGCCACTGAGCTCGGCCTTCAACAGTATACCAATATTTGTTAATATCGTTTTATTTTTTACAATTTTTCCATTTTTAAAAACTTATTCTTTTACCTGTATTATTGATTATAATAAACAACGAATAATTTTGTAGTAGAGTTGAGTCCCCCCAAAAAGTATTTATTGTTTAACTGAAGTAGTTTTTTTTTTTTTAACCTGGATATATATTTTTTCATTTTCACTTTATTTTTTGTGTTTATTTTTAAAAATTATTTATATGTATTTTTATTTTAATAGGTGTTTGAGAAACAGGTGGTGTTTGGTTCCATGAATAAGTTCTTCAGTGTTGATTTCTGAAATGTAGTACCCCTCATTACTCATTAAATTATATATTAAGTCATTATAAAATCATTAATAAACCAAGGACTTTAGTAAAATGGGAATTTTATTTTAACTTGCAACCTGGGATGTAACTGTCAAAAAAATTAGAGAAATTACCACATTAAGGTTTTAAAATCTTGAACTGAAAAATGAAAACCTTGGTGCACCTAAGAACCACCAGCCCACTGGTCAAGGTGAGCAAAACTAAATGAAAAAATAAAACCAAGAAAACCAAGCTCAGGATTATTAGGTATTCTGTAATGCTATTTTATCTTTGGACTCACAGAAAATAGTTATTATTATTATTATTATTATTATTATTATTATTATTTTGATATGGAGCCTCACTCTGTCACCCAGGCTGGAGTGCAGTGGCACAATCTTGGCTCACTGCAACCTCTGCCTCTTGGGTTCAAGTGATTCTCCTGCCTCAGCCTTCAGAGTAGTTGGGATTACACGCAGGTTCCACCATGCCTGGCTAACTTGTATTTTTGGTAGAGACAGGGTTTCACCATCTTGGCCAGGCTGGTCTGAAACTCCTGATCTCAAGCAATCTGCCTACCTCAGCCTCCCAAAGTGCTGGAATTACAGGCGTGAGCCACTGTGCTCAGCTGAAAATAGTTAATTTTATGTATATTCCAAGTCAGAATACATCCTATTTTTGAATATTTGATGACTTTAGGATACTATATTAACTCTTAATTGAATTAATACAAGTTTAGGTGTAAAGATGATGTTTATGTTGACAAAAATTATTAATGTTTTACATATATGAAAGTAACAATATCATATATTTTTCATACTTGTAGAATACTTTGAAATCTATTATTAGCTAATATTTTATATTCATTTTGGGTTTTCACATTATTGTTAGATCCAGAGAAAAGTAACATTTTGTGAATACTCAAATCATAAACATTTTGCTGGATTCATTCATAGATACTTTATTTAAAAAGTGCACTAATTGAAGTTTTACACCATTTTATGATTCATCAAACACAGCAACTGAATACTGTCATATAGCAACATTACAGATGTTAGTCTAACATAAAACTCATAATACATTTTAAAAAGGGTAAAAGGAAGGAAAGGAAAAAGGATACAAGGCTGTAGAAAGATTTTAAAAACAAACGTCATATGTCTGAACCTTTGCCTGGAGTTTCATATTTTGTGAAAAGCAGTTTGTAAGTAGAGGATTCGTAAGTGCACCTGGTACATTGCAGTGGCACAGACACAGCAGATAGTCAATAAAATGATCTTTAACTTCTGATCTAGGTTATTTTTGTTGTTGTTCATGTATTAACCTGTGAAACTTAGCCAATAGATGGAGTGGCATTGACCTGTACAACTTCCAAGATCCCATCCAAACTTAGTGTGCTCTGAAGTTCTCCATAATTTATTGTCTGTTCCAACCAACATTCAGCATAAGCTACAGCTTATATTGTTAATAATCCTTCTATGTTTATGTGCTGATTTGCAAATAAATGGGCCTATATAGTCTTTATCTAGTGTTGGATTGGGGTCAAAAGTTTTATGAAATCATTGTTTTTAGTATACGTACAGATGGATAATTGTATAAATAAGTACAGATGTGTATAAATGTGTGAGTATACATACATACATTTTCTAGCTCTTCTAACAAAAGGGCCTAGAAACAACATCATCCCAGTAACAATGAGAACACCATTCTCCAATTGAAGGAACCAAGGCTCCTTGGGGACATATTTGATATCAGGATTGGGCAGGGAAAATACAAGATTAGTTTGAAATATTTTGTCATGTTAGAAAGTAAGGAAATGCTCACAAAATGGGGAAAATGTGAAAAGGAAACAGAATCCACTTTGAATCAACTTCCATGGCCAAATTTGAGAAAATTGGGGCAATAAAATAAATAACAATAATAATATATTACAATCTACAGAAGAAAATTTTCAATTAATCCATGCCGGGTGCGGTGGCTCATGCCTGTATTCCCAGCACTTTGGGAGGCCGAGGCGGGCAGATCACTTGAGGTCAGGAGTTCAAGACCAGCCTGACCAATGTGGTGAATCCCTGCCTCTACTAAAAATACAAAAATTAGCCGGGCATGGTGGCACATGACTGTAGTCCCAGCTACTCGGGAGGCTGAGGCAGGAGAATGGCTTGAATCCTGGAAGGTGGAAGTGCAGTGAGCGGAAATTGCACCATTGCACACCAGCCTGGATGACAAAGCAAGACTCCATCTCAAAAAAAAGTAATAATCCATATTGACATAAATAATAAACCAAAGGTTGAGAATGGGCAGTATTTTATTACAGTAAGATTTCATTAAATGTAGGAGACATAAAATATAAGAATCATCACTTTGCAAATATCATAGTAATAATTGTTGCAAGAAAGAACCTTGGAGGGATGCTAAGATTAGTGGTGAATATATGTTGGGAAAGAACATTTTTGCATAATATGAAAGTATCTTCCCACAAGATAATTATAGAATAGTAACTTCAAAGTGGAGATGTCAACTTAGCCAAGTGATCAAAGTTAACATTACTAATAATAAAATAAATGAACTTCATGTAACTTCTTATATGATGCACTGAGTAGGACAAAACATCAATTCTATGGTATTCTTAGACAAAATGTATAACTTTAGTCCTAATCGTGAGAAAATATCAGACTAACTGAAATTGAGGAGGGACATTTTACAAAATAACTGCCAGTATTCTTCAAAAGCATTTTAGAAAGACTGAGGAATTCGCCAGAGACATGGAGACATGTCAACTAAGTGCAATGGAGAAAATGCATTGTATCATGAACCAGAGATGGACAACAGTAGGATATATACAATAACACCCCAACATTTGAACATTAAACAAAATGCTTCAGAAAAACCCATTGGTCAAGAAAAGTTTCACACACAAAAAAAATAGTTTAAACTGAAAGAAAATTTTTAAAAACTTAATAAAATGTGGGATGCAGATAAATCATTTCTTAAAGGTACATTTATAGATGTAATATATTGAAAATAAAAGGCTTCAATCAATGACCTTTAGGTTCTTTTTTAAGAGGCTAAAAAAATGAGCAAAGTATATCCAAATTAAGAAGAAGGAAGATGATAAAGATAAAAATGTAAACCAACAACATAGCAAATAACAAAAGGTGGAGCTAATTAATATACCCACAAATTGGTTCTTTGAAAAAAATTTTTTTAATAAACAATGGCTAGCAAGATTTATCTTGAAAAAAATTAGAGAAGCTACATAATGTAGATAATGAGAATTAAATGGAGGATGTAACTACAGAACCTACAGACATCAATACAATTATGAAAACTTTAGGCCAATACATTTGACAATTAAAATAACTGGGAAATTATTTGTAAAACTAATTCTAAAAACTGATGCAAAATGAAATAGAAAAAGTAATAGCTCTCTATGTATTGAAGAATTTTTTTAATTTAAAAAGATTTCTATAATTACAGGCTACATGGTTTCTTAGGTGAATTCTATCAAACATTTAAGAAAGTACAGAGAGTCCTCAACTTACGGTGGTTTGACTTGTGCTCTTCTGACTTGATAATGGTGCTTTCATCTGTGTACATTAATGATGAGCATCAATATGACCAGTTTTTCACTATCAGTATAGTTTTCAATAAATTTCATGAGATACTCAATATTTTAAAATGGGCCTTGTGGTAGATGATTTTGCCCAATTGTAGGATAATGTAAATGTTCTGAGCAAGTTTAAGGTAGGCGAGGCTAAGTCATGATATTCAGTAGGTTAAATATATTAAATGCATTTTAGACTTACAATATTTTCAATTTAGGATGAGTTCATTAAGACATAAGACCATTGTAAGTTGAGGAGTATCTATAATATCAACCTTGAACGGACTCTTTTTAAGAAATAGAATTTAAGGGCTGGGCACAGTGGCTCACACCTGTAATCCCAGCACTTTGGGAGGCCAAGATGGGCAGATCACCTGGGGTCAGGAGTTTGAGACCAACCTGGCCAGCATGGAGAAACCCCCGTCTCTACTAAAAGTACAAAATTAGCAGGGCATGGTGGCGCTTGTCTGTAATCCCAGCTCCTCGGAAGCCAGAGGCAGGAGAATAGCTTGAATCTGGGAGGCAGAGGTTGCGGAGAGCCGAAATTGTGCCATTGCACTCCAGCCTGGCAACAAGAGTGAATCTCCGTCTCAAAAAAAAAAAAAAAAAAAAAAAAAAAGAATCTAAAGGGACAATTCCTATCTTATTTTATGAACCCAGTATTGCCCTGATTCCAAATCGAGACAAAGGCATTATACAACTTTGATGTTTATTCCTCATAAACATAGACTCAAAAGTCCTTAAAACTTAATAACCAATTGAATGTAGCAGTACATAGAATGGATAATAAACTGAACAAATTAAATTTCTAGCAAGATTGCAAGGTTAATTTATTATTTGAAAGATCAGTTTAATCAATTTTATTCAACTGGATGGTTACATCTGGCAAAACTCAGCAAACTGTGCACTTTAAAATAGGAATATTTATTTTATGTAAATTATGTTTGAATACAATTGATTTTTTAAAAAAAAACGTTTCCCAGAGTGATCAAAGTGGAGGGCAGGGAACAGTAAACATCAGTGCTTATGTTATAGCTACTAGAAGCCTCCCAATTCCAACGACATGTTTTCAAGCAGGTCTGATCCTTCCCCTGGAGGATACCTCTGACCCAGGTGTGCTACAAATGCATTGCCCCTAGTTGCTTCTGTCACCTTAGTGATGGAAGTGACAAGAGGGTACTGGAGAAAGAAAAGGTGTACAGGGTTCCAAATGTACTTTCTCTTTCCAAAGGACATTTGTGAAGCCAGTGGAAAGCGAACAAACAAGCTGCTAAATAAGTCACAAGTGTCTTCTCGTACAGTTTTGTGATTAACTAAATAGGACATTCAACAGATAAAGTTTGTTTTACATAGTTACTCCTCTAATAGGATGAACTTGTGGATTGTGAGATAGGGCTGATATAACCTGTTTTCTCTCTGCCTCTTATTTTCCCCCCAAGTTTTGTGTGCAATACATTAGGAAAAATATAATTGGGCTATAAAGCTACAAAAATGGCTTCCTGGCAGTTCCATGCTTGTTTCCATGTGGTGCCTATGTTTGGCACTGTGTTCTCATTTGCACTTTCCTACTTGATTAGTTAATGTATGGACAAGCCTGATCTCTACTGTGAATTTTTACCAAGGTATTCTAGTAGAAAAATGAGTATGTAATGGTGCTGTGGAATGCTAAAGTGTGCAAAACATTAAGAATCTAAAAATATGCTCATTTCCAAGTTTTGTCCCAGAGCAACTGTGCACTCTATATCGCTACTGCTATTTAAAGTTATCCATTTGCATGTCTAAAAAATAGATTCATACTGATTGTCCCATTTGATCTCAAAAAACTCCTGAATGTGAGAGTCGTGATCAAGGGACGCTTCATGAAATGTTCCAAAGTTAAAGTGTGCAATGAAACCAGATTTATCATAGCTTTATTTAAAATAATTATTTCTAAAATTGTTATTGTTTAATTATAAACGGTATCCTTTCAGGATACTTGGAAGATCCATAGCAGTGTTTTTATTTTCACAGAACAAGCATAAATTATTTATGAAATAATAACTCAGATACAGAGATTACTTCCTATTGGCCTTACATATGAATATAAATAAATACATATTATGAACATGCACATACTTATTTTATAATTATGTAAATGTGTGTGTAATGTTATATATAAGTTCAATAAAGTCATGCTTATACATGGTTTCAATTCATGCTTCTAAAAACCACTCAATGTAGTCATTATCATAAGTTAATAAATAATCTCTGAAAATGTGCTTCTAGTAGTTGCACAATATCCCATCATAAAGATTGTCATGCTGTTTTTAAGTCATACTTTTGGGTATATAAGTTATATCTGATATTTTTCTGCTACATATATACTATTATAAATCTATTAGTAGTTGATTTTTTGTGAACACATATGATTGTTTCCTCACAACAGTACAAGAGTTGGTTGTAACTTTATTTCCTTCCAACATTTATTTTAGGTTCAGCGGGTACATGTGCAGGTTTATTATATGGGTAAAATGTGTGTCAATGGGATTTGGTGTACAGATTACGTAGTCATCCAGGTAGTGAGCGTAGTATCTAATAGGGAGTTTTTTGATCCTCACTCTCCCCCCCACCCTCCACCCACAGTAGACCTTGTGTCTATTGTTCCCTTCTTTGTGTCCATGTGGACTCAACGTTTAGCCCCCACTTATAAGTGAGAACATGCAGTGTTTGTTTGGTTTTCTGTTCCTGCATTAATTCACTTAGAATAGTGGTATCCAGCTCCATTCATGTTGCTGCAAAAGACATTATTTCATCCTATTTTATAGGTGTGTAGTATTCCATGGTGTATGTACACTGCATTTTTTAAATCCAGTCTTCTGTTAACAGGCATCTAAGTTGATTCCGTGTCTTTGCTATTGTGAATAGTGTTATAATGAAAATATGCGTGCATATGTCTATGACAGAATGATTTATATTCCTTTGGGTATATACCCAGTGATGGGATTGCTGAGTTGAATGGTAGTTCTGTTTTAAGTTATTTCAGAAATCTCCAAACTGCTTTCCACAATGGCTGAAAAAATTTACATTCTTGATGAAACTGGAGAGTTCCCTGACTCCCCTTGGCAGGATGTGCAACAGGGGTGTGGCTTGTCTGGCCACCGTGTGTGCTGTCAAACCCCTTACTGGGCAGGGGAGCATGCAGACAGGCAGGTGCAATAGACAGGGCAAGTGGCCATGGTACTGTCTAGGGGTGGGTGCCTGCGACTCCCACAGCCCAAGTGGGCATGTGTTACAGTGCACTCTTTTAGCTTTGCCATCCACAGACTGCTTAAGTGTTAACCTGTTCAGTGCCCTCTTGGTACCCAGTTCCTTGTCCAGCATCCAGAAAGAATTAAGTTGCACACAGACTTGAGGATGGTGAATGTGGGGGTTTTATTGAGTGGTGGAGGTGGCACTCAATGGGATGGATGGGGAGCTGGAAAGGGGATGGAATGGAAGATGATCTTCTCCGGGAGCTTTGCCATCCGGAGGCTGATCTCTCCAACCACTGCCAGCCAAACTCCTCTTGGCATTCAGGTGCTCCTTCTCTTCTTTCTGCCACATCATTCTGCAATTCTGCTCTTCTGTTCATCTCCTCATCTGCTTGTCTGCTTCTGGAGCCTGGGGTCTGGGACATATACGGGTACAGGACAGGGGGTGCATGCTGAGCTGAAAGACAACTTTTGGGTGCAAAAGCAGGAATGCCTTTTCCCATTTAGGGCCATGGGTTTCCAGGCTTGTGGGCAGGGCTTTGCCAGGGAACCACTCTCTTCTACCCAGTATTTCCCTGTCTCCTTTCTATATCACCACCAGCAGTGTATAAGCATTCCCCTTTTTCCACAAACTCGGCACCGTCTGTTTTGTTTTGATTTTTTAATAATAGCCATTCTGACCGGTGTGATATGGTATCTCATGGTTCTGATTTTCTGATGATTAGTGATGTTGAATATTTTTTCATATGGTTGTTTTCCACACATACGTTGTCTTTTGAAAAAAGAATCCACAGACGGCTTAAGTGTTAACCTGTTCAGTGCCCTCTTGGTACCCAAGTCCTTGTCCAGCATCCAGAAAGAAGTTGCACATGGACTTGAGGATGGTGAATGTGGGGGTTCATGTTCTTTGCCTATTTGTAGTGGGTTTGCTTTTTGCTTATTGATTCTTTATACATGCTGAGTGTTAGACATTTTTCAGATATGTAATTTGAAAATATTTTCTTCTGTTCTGTAGGGTGTTCTCTGTTGATAGTTTCTTTTGCTGTGCTGAAGCTCTTTAGTTTCATTAGGTCCCACTCCTCAATTCTTCTTGTTGCAATTGCTTTTGGAATCTTCATCATGAAATCTTTGCCAGCGTCTATGTCCAGAATGATATTTCCTAAGTTATCTTCTAGGGTTTATATAGTTTTGGGTCTTACATAAGTCCTTCATCCATCTTGAGTTGATTTTTGTATATGGTGAAAGGAAGGGAGTGTACATGCCCCTGTGATATTGTTCCTAATATCCAGGTTTGGAGAAGATATTATACTCAATATTGCAGGAGGTGTCGACCACCCTGAATATTACTTTTAATATCCGGGGAGAGAGGGTGATATTACTCTCAATATCATCCTCTCCCCCCACACCCTGCATAGTACAAACAATATCAAAGAGGGTCTGTGCAACACGTGCAATATTGGGAGTAATATCCTCCCCCAACATGGATATTAGAAACAGTATCACAGGAGGTTGTACACCACCTGCGATATTGGGGAGTACTATCATTTTCTTTCCCCATGGATATTTAGAACAATATCACAAAGGCGGTGTACAACCCCTGCTATATTGGGAGAAATACTGTACTTTCCCCACCTAGATATTAGGAACTATATCACGGGGGGTTATACACCGCTGCATCATTGGGAGTAATATCATCCTTTCCCTCCCTGGATATTAGGAACAATACCTCATGGGTGTGTACACCCTGTTCCATATTGGGATTAATATTTTCTCCCTTGCTGGACATAAGGAACAATATAACGAGGGGTATACACTCCTTATGATATTGCCAGTAATATTATAGACTCTCCCCAGGGTTATTAGAAACAGTATCAGAGAGGGGTGTACATCCCCTGCGATATTGGGAATAATATTCTTTATTTCCCTGGATATTAGGAATAATATCGCAAAGGGGTTGTATACCCCCCGTGACATTTTAATTAATATAATCTTCCCCACTGAATATTAGGAACAAATTCCCAGGGGATTGTACACCACCTGCAATATGGACAGCTATATCATTGTCTCTCCCCCGAATATTAGGATCAATATCACACGGGGGTTGTACACCCCCTGTGATATTGGGAGTAACTTTATACCCTTTTCACATGGATATTAGGAACAATATCATAGGGTGGGTGTACACCCACTGCGATATTGGGAGTAATATCATCCTCTACCCCCTGGGTATTATGAACAATATCATGGGGAGGGGGTGTATGCCCTCTGTGATATTGGGAGTAATATCATCCTGTCCCCTCTGGATATTGGGAATGATATTACAGCGGGGCTGTACCTTTTCTGCACTATTGGGAGTGGTATCACCCTCTCCCCCTATGGATGTTAGGAACAATATCACAAAGGGGGTGTACACATCCTGCGATATTGGGAGTAATATTGTCCACTCTTCCCCTGGATATTAGGAACAATATCACAGGCGGAGTGTACACCACCTGCTATTTTAACTGTAATATTATTCTCTTCCAACCTGGATATTAGGAATAATATAACAGGAGGGGTGACAACCACCTGTGATATTGGGAGTAATATCATTCTCTCCCCCCATGGATATTGAGAACAATATCACAGGAGCAGTTTACACCTCCTGCGACATTTAGAGTAATATCATCCTTTTCCCCCATGGATATTAGGAACGATATCGCATGGGAAGTGTACACCCCCGCCATATTGGGAGTAATATTTTCTCCCTTGCTGGACATTAGGAACAATATCACGGGAATGCACACCCCCTGTGATATTGCCAGTAATATCGTAGTCTCCTCCCAGGATATTAGGAACAATATCACAAGGGGGGTGTACGTGCCCTGTGATATTGGAAGTAATATCATCGACTCCCCCCACGGATATTAGTAACAATATCAGAAGGGGTGTACACCCCTTGCGATATTTATAGTACTATCATCCTATACCCCTTGGATATTAGGAAAAATACCACGGGGGGGTGTATACCCACTGTGATATTGGGAGTAATTTCATCCTCTACCCCTTGGATGTTAGGAGCAGTATCACAAGGGGGGTGTGCACCCTCTGTGATATTAAGAATAATACCATTCTCTCCTCCTCTGGATACTAGGAATAATATCACAGGGCTGGTGTGCACCTTTTGCATTATTTGGAGCAATATCACCCTCTCCCCAACTTGATATTAGAGACAATATCATGGGGGGTGGCGTGTAACACCCTGCACTGTTGGGAGTAATATCATCTAGTCTTCCCCTGGATATAAGAAACAGTATCACAGAAGGGTTCTACACCTCCAGAGATTTTGGGAGTAATATCATCCTCTCCAAATCTGGATATTAAGAACAGTATAATGGGGTGTGGGGAGTAATATGTTGGGAGTAATACAATCCTACCCCCCACTTGATATTAGGAACAATATCGCAAAACGTGTGTACACCCACTGTGATATTTGGAGTAATATCAACATTTCCCCACCTGGTATCACGGGGAGAGTGTACACTCCTTATGATATTGGAAGTATCATTGTCTCTCACTCTCGATATTAGGAAAAATAGCACAGGATGTGTGTACACTCCCTGTGATTTTGGGAAGAACATCATACCCTTTCGTCTTTGATATTAGGAACAATATCACAGAGGGGGTGTACAACTTCTGCGATATTGTAGTATTCTTTCTTCCCATGGATATTAGGAATGATATCCCGGGGGGCATGTTGTACACCCCCTGTGATACGGACAGTAATATCATTGTCCTTCCCCCTACATATTAGGAACAATATCACAAGGGGAGTGTACACCCCCTGGATATTAGAAACTATCACAGGGGGGCTGTACAACCTCTTTGATACTGTGAGTAATACCATTGTCTGCCCTCCTGGATATTAAGAACAATATTATAGGGTGGGTGTACACCCCCTGCAATATTGGGAATAATATCATCCTCTCTTCCCCGGGATATTAGGAACGGTATCACACGTGGGGTTTACACCCCCTGCAATTTTGTCAGTAATATTACTTCTGGATGTTATTGAATATATCACAGTGGGGGTGTACACCCCCTGTGATATGGGGAGTAATAGCATCCTCTTTCCCACTGGATACTACAAACAATATCACAGGTTGTGTACAACCTCCTGTGATATTGTTCACAATATTTAGGTGAGGAGAGGATGATATTACTCCATATATCGCAGGGAGTGTTACATCCCCTGTAATATTGTTCATAATATTTAGAAGAGGACAGAATGATATTACTCCCAATATAGTAAGAAGCATACACTCCCCTGTGATACTGTTCATAATTTTTTGGGGATTAGAGGATGATATTACTTCCAATATCACAGGGAGTGTACACTGGTGATATTGTTTATAATTTTCAGTGGATTAGAAGATATTATTCCGAATATCACAGGGGTTGTACATCCCCATGTGATATTGTTAATATCCAGTGGGAAAGAGGATGATATTACTCCCCATATCACGGGGGATGTAAACCCGTTTGTGGTATTGTCTCTTACATCCGGGGGGGGAGAGGATGATATTACTCTGCATATCATAGAGGGTGCACACGGCTGTAATGTTGTCCATAACATCCAGAGGGGAAGATAATATTATTCCCATGTTTCAGAAGGTGTACACACCCCTGTGATAGTCTCTGTAACGTTTAGGGAAGAAGGGGAAGATACTACTCCAGATATCGCAGGGGGTGTACACCCCCCTGTGATACTGTTCGTAAGGTTTAGGGGGAAGAGGATGATATTACTCCCCATATCGAAGGGATTGTACATCTCCTTATATATTGTCCATAACATCCAGGGCAGGAGAGGATATTACTACTCCCCATATTGCAGGGGGTGGACACCCCCCCTGTAAATATGTCTAACATCCAGGCAGGGACAGGAGGATATTATTCCCCATAACGCAGAGAAAGTAAACCTCCTGTGATATTGTCCATAACATCCAGTGGGGAGAGGATGATATCACTCCCCATATTGCAGGGGGTGCACACTCCACTCTGATATTGGCCGTAATACCCGGAGGTGGGTGAAGTATGAAGTCACTACACATATCGCAGGGATTATTAGTATCAGATTGTTTGAAGGGCTCACAGTAAGGATAGTAGTAGGGCGAGTTCTAACTCAAATAGGGGAAATGTGATGGCTACTAGAAAGAATTTTATGGAGAAGGGAATGTGGGCAGAGGGTAGAGGGTCAAATCTGCATTCATAAGGGCTAGATTTTTCTATATATATTTATTTTATACATATATATATATTTTTTTTTCTCTCTCTCTCTCTATATATATATTAAGTTGTGGGAGCCAAAATGTAATAATTATTAGTAACAGGGCTAATAGGGTGTTGATTACTAGGATTAATGTTAGGTGAATTACTGTTTTTTGGATGCTATCGAAACTTTGGAAATCATGGTACTATTTATACTAAAAGAGTAAGATCCTCATCAATAAATAGAAACATACAAGAATAGTCATACTACATCTACAAAGTGTCGATATCAGGCAGCAGCTTCAAAGGCAAAGTGATGACTAGATGTAAAGTGGTATTTTAGTTGGCGGAGAAGGCAGACTGAGGAATGTTGATCCAATAATGATGTGAAGTCTGTGAAAGCCTGTAGCTATAAAAAATGTTGAGCCATAAATACCATCAGAAATAGCAAAGGGAGCTTTGAAGTATTCTGAGACTTGTAGGAGGGTGAAGTAAATACCTAATATAATTGTAATAAGTAGTGCTTGGATTGTATGTTTTTGATTATTTTTTGTTAGGCTGTGATGGGCTCAAGTAATTGAAACTCCTGATGCAAGTAATACAGATGGATTCAGGAGAGGTACTTCCAGGGTGTCAAGGGGAGAAATACCTGTTGGGGGTCAATGTCCTCCTAATTCTGGAGTAGGGGCTAGGCTAGAATGGTAGAATGCTCAAAAGAATCCAGCGAAGAGAAATATTTCTGAGATAATAAATAGGACTATCCCATATTGGAGGCCTTTTTGAACAGTCGTTGTATAGTGGCCCTGAAATGTACTTTCTCTGATACAGACCACCCTTGTTCAGTTGAATACAGATCAATCACTTTAAGTAAGCTAAGTCCTTACTAAATTGATGAGACTTAAACCCACGAAAACTTAACAACTAAACTCCCTAGTCAACTGGTTTGAATCTACTTCTCCAGCTGCTGGGGGAAAAAAGGTGAGAGAAGCAGGATTGAAGCTGCTTCTTTGAATTTACAATTCAACGTGAAAATCACCTCGGGACTGGTAAAAACAGGCCTTGACCTCTGTTTTTAGATGTACAGTCTAATGCCCTACTCAGTCATTTTACCCTTTTTTCTCACTTCATTTATATTGGCTGAGAGTTGACTATTCTCAACCAACCATAAAGATATCGGGACATTATATTTATTATTTATCACATGAGCAAGGATAGTCAGTACAGCTTTAAGCCTTATTCGAGCTGAACTCTACTAGATGATCAAATTTATGTCATTGTTATAGCCTATGCATTTGTCATAATTTTCTTTATAGTAATACTATAATTGGAGGTCTTGGCAACTGATTAGTCCCCCTGATAATTGGCGCCCCCTATATAGCATTTCTCTGCATAAATAATATGAGCTTCTGACTCCTCCCACCCTCCTTCCTATTATTACTTGCATCCACTATAGTAGAAGCCGGCACTGGAACCGGCTGAAGAGTCTCTCCTCCCTTAGCAGGAAACCTAACACATGCAGGCGCCTTTGTAGATTTCACTATCTTTTCACTCCACTTGGCAGGTGTTTCTTCTACTTCAGGGGCTATTAACTTTATTACCACAATTGTTAATATAAAACCCCCAGCCATGTCCCAATATCACACACCCCTCTTCATCTGATTAGTCCTAATTACAGCAGTTCTTCTACTCCTTTGTCTCTGAGTCCTAGCCTCCGGCATCACTATATTGTTAACTGACCGCAATCTTAATACTACTTTTTTCTACCTGGCTGGCGGAGGTGATCCTATCTTATGTCAGCATTTATTCAGATTCTTTGGTCACCCTGAAGTCTAAATCCTCATCCCACTGGGCTTTGGGATAATTTCCCACGCCGTAACACACTATTCTGGAAAAAAAAAGAACCATTCAGGTATATGGGCCTAGTGTGAGCTATAGGATCAGTTGGGTTCTTACGGTTTATTGTATGGGCCCACCATATATTTACGGTACAGATAGATGTGGATACATGAGCCTGCTTCACCTCTGCTACTATAATTATTGATATTCCTACTAGCATCAAAGTTTTTAGCTGACTAGCTAGCTACACTTCATGGCGGTAATATCAAATGATCCTCCACAATGCTGTGAGCCCAGGGATTTATTTTCCTTTTTACAGTAGGAGGCCTAACCTGCATTGTATTGGCCAAGGCTTATATTATGGTTCATTCATATATTTAGAAACCTGAAAGTTTCTAAATAAATTCTAAAAAAGTTGTAAAAAAAACCCAAGCTGAAATAACTACGAAAGTGCCTTTAATATTCTGAAGACAAAATAGCTAAGATCCAAACTGGGAGTAGATACCCCGCTATGCTTAACCCTAAACTCGAATAGTTAGATCAACAAAACTGTTCGCCAGAACACTACAAGCAACAGCTTAAAACTCAAAGGACTTGGCGGTGCTTTACATCCCTCTAAAGGAGCCTGTTCTATAATCGATAAACCCCAATTTACCTCACCACCTCTTGCCCAGACTATATACCTCCATCTTCAGCAAACCCTGGAAAGGCCACAGAGTAAGCATAAGTATCTACATAAAAACGTTAGGTCAAGGTGTAGCCCATGAGGTGGCAAGAAATAGGTACGTTTTCTACATCCAGAAAAATCTCGTGACAACCGTTATGAAATCTAAGGGCTCAAGGAGGATTTAGCAATAAATTGAGAGCAGAGTGTTTAATAGAATAAGGCCATGAAGCACGCACACACCGCCCTTCACCCTCCTCAAATATATTCTAGAAACTCATTGTACACTCCCCTGTGATATTGTCCATAATATCCAGGGAGGGAGAGAATGATTTTATTTATTTATTTTTTTGAGACAGACCCTCGCTCTGTCGCCCAGGCTGGAGTGCAGTGGCCTGATCTTGGCTCACTGCAAGCTCCGCCTCCCAGGTTCACACCATTCTCCTGCCTCAGCCTCCCTAGTAGCTGGGACTACAGGCGCCTGCCACCGCGCCCGGTTAATTTTTTGTATTTTTAGTAGAGACGGGGTTTCACCATGTTAGCCAGGATGATCTCAATATCCTGACCTCGTGATCCACCCACCTCGGCTTCCCAAAGTGCTGGGATTACAGGTGTGAGCCACCGCGCCTGGCCAGAGAGAATGATTTTACTCCCCATATCGCAGGGGATTTACATTCCTCTGCATTATTTTTCGTAATATCCAGGGGGAAGAGGAAGATATTACTCCCCATATAGCATGGGAGAACAATTCCCTGCAATATTGTTCATAATATCTCTGGGGGGAGAGAATGATATTTCTCCTTTTATTGCAGGAAGTGTACACCCCCCTTGCGATATTGTTTATAACATCTAGTGGGGGAGAGGACGATGTTACTCCCCATATTGCAGGGGGTGTACAACCCCCTAGAATATTGTTCATAATATCCACACGGGGAGGAGATGATGTTACTACCCATATCGCCAGGGTGTACTGCCCCCTGCCATATTGTTTGTAATATCCAGGCTGGAAAAGGATGATATTACTCCCTGTATCACAGGGGATGTACACCTCCCTGCGATGTAATATCCAGGGTGGGAGAGGAGTATATTACTCCCCATGAGGCAGAGTGTGTATACACCCCTCTGTGATATTGTTCATAATATCCACTGGGGGATATGATATTACTCCCAATATCGTAAACACCTCATGTGTACACCATCTGTGATATTGTTTGTAATATCCAGTAGGGGAGAGGATGATACTACTTTCCACATCCCAGGGGGTTTACACCCCTCTGTGATACAGTTTGTAATATCCAGAGGGGGAGAGGGTTATATTACTCCTCATATTGCAGGACATGTACACCCCCCTGTGATATTGTTTGTAATATTGTTCCCAATATCCTTTTCCCCCATGGATATAGGAACAGTATCACATAGGACGTGTACACCCCCTGCCATATTGGGAGTAGTCGTGTTTTCTCCCTTGCTGGACATTAGGAACAATACCATGGGTTGGGGGTGCACACCCCCTGCGATATTGACAGTGATATCATCCACTA
Source organism: Homo sapiens (assembly GCF_000001405.40). NCBI lineage: Eukaryota > Metazoa > Chordata > Mammalia > Primates > Hominidae > Homo > Homo sapiens. The sequence goes on from NT_113889.1 coordinate 18,795, forward strand.
TCCCCTAAATATCGGAACAATATCACAAGGGGGATGTACACACTTGGCGATATTGAAAGTGATATGATCCTCTCCCCACCTGGATATTAGGAACAATATCACAGAAGGGGTGTACACCCCCTGTGATATTGACAGTAATATCTTCTCCCCCCTGGATATTAGGAGCAATATCACAGAAGCGTTGTACACTCCCTGTGATATTGACAGTAATATCCTCTCCCCCCCGGATATTAGGAACAATATCACAGAAGAGGTGTACACCCAGTGTGATATTGACAGTAATTTCCTCTCCCCCTCCCGGATATTAGGAACAATACCACGGGGGGGTGTACACCCCCTGCGATATTGACAGTAATATCATCCTCTCCCCCCCAGATATTAGTAACAATATCACCAAAGGTGTCTACACCCCCTGTGATATTGACAGTAATATCCTCTCCCCCCCACCCAGATATTAAGAACAATACCACGGGAGGATGTACACCCTCTGTGACATTGACTGTAATATCAACCTGTCGCCCCCCTGGATATGAGGAAGAATATCATGGGGGGTGCACACCCTCTGTGATATTGGGAGTAATATCACCCACTATCCCCTAAATATTAGGAACAATATCACAAGGCAGGGAGAGCACCGTCTGCGATATTGGGAGTAATGTCATCCTTTCCCTGCCCCTGCATACTAGGAATAATATCACAGGGGATGTACACCCCCATGCGCTATTGGGAGTAACATCACCCTTTCTTCCCATGGATATTAGGAACAATATCACAGAAGTGGTGTACACATGCTGCACTGTATAGAACAAAGCAGGCAGAGGAAGGTGGGATAACCTTGCTAGCTGAAGCTTCTGGCTCTCTTTTTTTCTTCTTCCCATGCAGGACACCTGATTCCCTTCTTCCTGCCCTTGGACATGAGACTCCAGGTTCTTATGTCTTTGGACTCTGGGACTTGCACCAGCGGCTTCCCCGAGGCTCTCAGGCCCTCGGCCTCAGACTGAAGACTGCACTGCGGGCTTTCCTGGTTTTGAGGCTTTTGGACTTGGACTGAGCCACTACTAGCTTCTCTCTTTCCCTACCTGGCAGACAGCCTATTGTGGGACTGCCTTCTAACCGTGTGAACCTATTCTCTCTGGTAAACTCCCTTATACATATACGTGTATCTTGTTGGATCTGTCCCTCTGGAGAACCCTAACTAATACATTTTGTTTATTTTTTCTCCACTGCCCTTTCCTCTGATTCTAGGCTTACCTAGACCACCACCATTCTTTCCCCCTTTCTAAAGTAAAAGTTGTTTTTTTCTCACTAAATGCATGGTATTCTGCCCATTTTCCATGGCTTCCCTCAGCCCTGCTCTGTTTATTCTTGCTATCTTAAGAGGAAATCCCTGCCTCTTCCGTGGCTTTTCCCACTTGGTCTACTTACTGGTTTCTGTTGTTCTCAGAGACACACTGAGACCTTTCACATCTCACTGTCACTTCTTGGAAGGGCTCTCTACCTCGTCTGCCTGCTAAGCAACCTCTTGGGGAGATGTGGGCACTCCTGAGTCACTGAACTTGAGCTATTTGGTGTTGGTATGTTAATTTATCTTCTTAGACCACTTACCACTTCCTTAACTTCAAAAGAGAAGAATAAGTATTATTTTCCATGGTCGATATGAAGAGTAGAAATAACTTATACAAAATGCATTGCAGTTAAGTGATAATAAATGGCCGTGAATGCCCTTAATAATGTTATTCTATCAGTCTCAGCTCAGATACCATCTGCTTTGTGAGCTCTGCTCTGAATCATATCTGCTTCTTCTCTGGGTTTCTTGTGCTCTGTTCTTAACTACTTTAAAGCAGTAATTGTTCTGATTCTAATTAGTGATCCTTCCCAATAAAATTTTAATTTCGTAGATCTCTTCCCCCCACCCCTGCCCCAGCCTAACCAGTGTTTTCTTACTTTTTTGTGTACAGGCTACATCACTGGTCTTCTTTTATTTGTGGCTAAATAAATGTTGTGTTAGAAGAGTAAAGAGTTCCCAGTTACATGGGATCTATAGTTCTACAAAATGAATATATACATAATCCATGTAAATATTTCACTTATTTTGACAAATTTTAATTTTTAAATTAAATTTAATTTGTTCATGTGTGTGAGACCAGAGTGAGAACAGAGATGGCGGCGGTGAGGGGCGGTGGTCTCACCATGTTGCCCAGGCTGGTCTTGAACTCCCCTTCAAGTGCCCCCCTCCTCACCTGGCCCCCCTCACCTTGCCTCCTCCCCTCTCACTCCTATGCCAGCCCCTGCCATTCCCCACCCCCTCTGTAGACTGCAAGACTCAACAAGTGACTTGCTGAGCAAACCCTGCTGAGAAGAGGTCTGTTTAGGGACACAGGAGGCCAAGTACACAAAAAAGCAAAAGAACTAGCATGCCTTTTTCAATGGATGTCTATTTTACAGGGCTGGCTTCAGATTATTGTTATAGCTTTAAATAAAAGGACCGTTTTGTCATCTTGGCCCATGACCTACTTATTTCTTTACTGTCCATTGCCCTGGACGCTTGACTAATAATTTAACAGCAGTTTTTTTTTAAAATTTTAAATCATGATTCATTGCATTGCTGTAAGAGTAATTAGAGGTAAAGTAGGGCTTGAAACTGCCTGTAGTTGGTTACTTACTGAGTTCTTAGCATAATTGTCAGGTGAGAGGTTGAAGTTTTAATTAGCGCTAAGTGGGATAGAAATTCAATGCACTGAAACTGCAGTGTCCAATTCAGTAGGCGCTAGCCACTTGTAACTGTTGAACACTTGGAATCCTGGCTAGTCCTAATTGAGATGTGTTGTGTTAAATACACTGGATTTTGTCATTGGAGTGGGAAGAACAGTGTAGAATAGCTGCTTGATTTTTTTTTATATTTATTACATGTTAAAATTATTACTATGATTACTATTTGGGACATACTGAGTTAAGTATATTTAAAATTAATTTCACCTTTTCTTTTAATGGGGCTTACCAGTACATTTAAAATTACGTACGTGGCTCACATATTTATTGGACAGCACGTCTCTAGAAATTTAGGAAGAAATAAGAAAAATATTGAGAATAGGTAGCGACAGTAGGAAGTTTGTCCTCCTGTAAGACTGATTCCAATAAAACTAATAGGTGATAGTTTTAATTGGCTTTTTCCTACTAGAAAAAGTAAGTGTACTTTACATGCCTCTTTGTTCTCCTTCTTTCCCCTTCAATTTAGTGGTTAGCATGTATTTACTACATCAGGCTTAATATTCACTAAGCAGTGTTAAGAAGACTTAGGTAAATGATTCCCTGATGAACACACTTGATTTTCAAAGCACTTTCCTAACCCATTTTTAATAGGAATAGAGTCAAAGGTAGAAGGCTTATTAGTAGTCATCTCATTTAAATCTCATGGAATTTTCCCGCTAAATCTCAAAGTAAACAATTTGTTATAGGCTGTTTTGTCAAGTGTTTGGAAGGGACAGCATAAGACATGTGGTACTTCATTTCCAAATTGCTTGAGATGTTTTTCATTATAATCATACATTATTTGCTTCTGGTTTTCCGGAAAAGCCAGCTAAGCCTGTGGTTCATTTAGATATAAATGAAATATCCTCAAAGGATTTCTCAAAGTGACTTATGCAACTTGAATATATATTTGTTCTGTAGGGTGTTTATTCCAAATTACCTGGCCATTTGCTGCAATTTGCAGTTTTTTAGAAAACACCAAATATTTCTCAATTTAGAGATGTTTTAATAAAAACAGTCATATTGAACTGGCAGCAGCCAAATAAAATAGCCCTTTATTTCACAGTTCAGAATTTGAAATTGGAAGGTAATTAACATATGTAAGGATGATATATTTGCTGCCTGGCTTATAGGAATGAGCCAAGTTGTTTTTTGAGGGATGTTGTTGCTGTGTATGTCCCACCTATTTTGCTTCCTTAATGAACAATGCAAGTTTGAGACAGAAATATTTGAGAACATTTTTATCAGTTGCAACACTTTGATAGTGAACATTTTATATCTTCTGTCAACTTAAAATGTTTGCATCTTCTGTCAGCTTAAAATGTTTAATTTGTTATAGCCAAATAATTTGGCTATAATTGATAATTTAATTTATCAAATTAAATTGCTTTTTTTCCCTTTAGACTTTCTTCAGTCACATCTGAATAAATCACTTAGAAGTAAGCTAGATGTAATATAATGAAATGCTTAAAAGGGCTGTGTATCTTCATATTACACTTACAGTGATTTTCTGTTGTACGCATTATATTCTACCTGCAGCTAGTTGAGGAAAAGAGAGGGCATTTAACTGCCAAGGGAACCTGAGAGGAGACTGTAGAAATCTGGAAAGTCTCTCGGGTCTTTGAGGGACTTTGGGATGCAGAGAGTGGGGCTGGGATCTCTGGCTAGGTTGGAGCCAGCCTGCATTTGTATCTTTATCTTGGAAGCAAACATAGAATGCAGAGTTAGATATGGTCTGGATGCTGCTAACTCTAGCCAACCACTAAATCTTAAGGTGGGAGAGATGCAGGCTTTGGCTGGGTGCTAAGCTGCTGTAGCTGGTTGAATGTAGAGGTCACTATCTTTTCTGAATACTTGTAAGTAAATTAAATCATTCTCTACTCCTGTATGCCTGCCAACCAAATGGGAAATCGCTATAGAAAAGATGGTTTAAATTTTAGTCTTTGAAGTGGTTTATGCACGTTTCTGGAATCAAGATTTAATGCCGACTTGGATTGGATATTGAATATTTTTTATTTGTCTACTTTTCTCTCCATAGGGAGCTTATAGCTTCATTGCACTGTGTGTGGCATTTGGGTCCTGTTTGGCAGCAATGACTGCCTTTCTGTTTAGTGTCTGTGTGCTATGAAGATTGCACACAGGGGTCCAAATGCATCCTGTTTTGAGAATGTCAATGGATACACCAGTTGCTGCTTTGGATTTCACTGGTTGGTGGTAGTTGACCCACTGTTTGGAATGCAGCCAATTTAAGTGAAGACATATCCATATATGTGGCTCTGTTACAGTGGTGAAATCTGCAACCATAAGAAGGTAGGGAAAAAGAAGCCAGATGTCTGGATGTGATTAAACTTCAGAGCTTGTTGATTACGATGATATTATATATTCTGTATCATGCTTTTTACTTTGCAAAGCATTCTATGTTATCTCATTTGCTCTAAGTATGTAGACAGGGAACTGATGAATAAAATGGTGAGTGAAATCACTTGGTCACAAAAAAAGTGATAAAAATGGGGATTACACAGTTTCTTTGACGCTTAGAATTTTTTCTCCTTCTCCCCAGCTTTTTGTTTTGAAAAAAATTCTAACATACAGAAAAGAACAGAATAGTGAGCACCTAGATTGAATAATCATTAATGTTTTGCCATATTTGCTTGATTTTTCTTTCTACACACACACACACACACACACACACACACACACAGTTTTTTTGCCAAATCATTTGAGAGTATGGTGCAGATTTTGTGACACTCCTAAATATATAAGCTTTTATCTCCTAAGAATAAGGACATTTTTCTACATAACATCAATACCATTATTAAACCTAAGAATCCATAATATCACCTGGCTGGGTGCGGTGGCTCACACCTGTAATCCCAGCACTTTGGGAGGCTGAGGTGGGTGGATCACGAGGTCAGGAGGTCGAAGCCATGCTGGCTATCACGGTGAAACCCCGTCTCCACTAAAAATACAAAAATAAAATATCAGCCAGGCATGGTGGTGGGCACCTGTATTCCCAGCTACTCGGGAGGCTGAGGCAGGAGAATGGTGTGAACCTGGGAGGTGGAGCTTGCAGGGAGCCAAGATTGAGTCACTGTACTTTAGCCTGGAAGACAGAGCAAGACTCTGTCTCAAAAAAGAAAAAAAAAACATAATGCCACCTAATATCCAGTTTATACTTAAATTTCCCTAAGTGTCTGAAAAATTTTTTTTTTTTGAAACAGAGTCTCAACTTTGTCACCCAGGATGGAGTGCAGTGTTGCGATCTCAGCTCACTGCAACCTCTGCCTCCCGGGTTCAAGCAATTCTCCTTCTTCAGCCTCCTGAGTAGCTGGGACTACAGGCCCACCTGTCGCCATGCCTGGCTAATTTTTTGTATTTTAGTAAAGACTGGGCCCAGGGTGGTCTGGAACTCCTAAGCTCAGGCAATCTGCTCACCTTGGCCCCTCAAAGTGCTACCAAGAATATCTTTATAGCTGGTATTTGTTTGTTTAGAGACAGATTTCATTCAAGATTCATGCATTTGGTTGTGATGTTTCTTGGTATTTTTTCTGAGACTTCTTGATAGATACCTGTCATGCACTGATAGAGAGTTATATCCTAACCATGTTTTGGACATTTTTATCTCTGAATAATAGCTTTTGTCATTGTTTGTTGCCTGCTCACGGGAACACTCTTAATAATAGTCTTCTTCTTCAAAATTTTTAAAAGAGTTATTCAAGAAATTCCTTTCACACATTTCTTTATTCCTTTATTAAGGTCTTAATATGCACCAGACATCATTTTTCTAGGTGATTGTAGATGAAATGGTGAAAAGGAAAGGCAAGAATGGAATTTCCTGCTAGTGGGAAGTAGAAGAGAGTATTAAAACTTTTTTCTTTCCAAGTCAAATCAGTGTCATATACATGAGAAAGCTAGGTGGTATGATGGCATTATCAGCTTGGCTTTCTCCTTAAATGAAATAGAAAGTGCCCTGTTTTACTCAGACAGTGTTTTTTTTTTCTAAAAAGCTAAAAGAAGTTAAATATTTTGAAAACAATTAATTTCTGTTCTAAATTATTCAAATGTTATATTTGTAAAACTAGAGAAGTTTGTTCCATTGCTTCTACCAAGCATCTCAGCTTATGTAGTTGGGGCAGCTAGAAATCTAATGAACAGAATGTATATTTTAGGCTTATATAAAGTATTCTGCAACATAAGTTCAAAAATACCCCCTACCCCCTTTTTGATAAAAATAAAGTTTACTACTACTAATAAAATACAGCCAGAGGTGTGCTGGGAGTGGAGGGGGACTGAGTGAAAGAAAGTAGGAACGGGGTAAAGGCTGGGGCAAAGAGCAGGCTCTCTCCCTGCAGGGGAATATCAGGGGCCTGAAGCCAAGTTAAATGACAGCATGACTTCAGGAGGCCAGATTTGAGGGCTTTTATCTAAAATGCAGCATCGGAGTTTGGTTTAAGAGAGTAGGAAGTGATACATCTGTTACCCAAAGGACTCTTCTCTTTTTTAAATAAATTACCTGCAGAGTTTAGGCCAAAGAGGTGGGCAAGGTAGATTTGGGAAACTGTTGCTTGCTAATATCACCAAACGCTTTCTTTTTATACCTGGTGGAGGCTTTAATTGGGGCAAGGACATTTTTATATAAAGATAGAGAAAACAATCGCCTATGGAATTTGATTCCTTGCTCCATGCCCTCGCTAGCACCTCTCAAGATGCTTGATGATATTTAACATTTCTTCATAGGGAAAAAACTTTTCACCCCACAATTAGAATCAGGCTTAACTTTCTTTTTGAAAAGGTAGTATGTAATTTTTGTTAAGATATAAATTACCAAGATTTTTATATCTTGAAACAGATTTAGATGATAGAGTGGGGTAGGTGGTGGTTGGTGGGAAGGGGTAGTTTTTTAGAGAGGGTATTAAGAGTTGGAAATTTCAATGTGAGAGAGGTGAAGGTTTGAAAATAAGTAAGAAAAGCACTAAAAGGCTGAAGTCAAGGGCCTCTGAGAGCCAGGATGATAGATTCTATTTCACAGTTTAACACAGGATCAGCATAGACCAAAGCAAGTTTGTAACTAAGGCAATGAAGATCATCTGTCTCCTCCCTTCCCCATTAATTGTGAACTTTAGTTTTATAAGCTCCTAAGAGGCAGAAAACAAATTGGAGCCTCGTCTTCTATTTGGGAGTGTATGGCATGTATTTATTGTCCTAGGTGCTGGGTTTATTTCTTTCAGCTAATGACAGTTTTCCATGCTTTATGGTAAGTGACCATAAAGTAAGTGGTAAGTGACTTACCCTTCAGGCAGTTCAGCCCAGGACAGTCAGCAGAAGACTGTTTCCAGACCCCACCTGCTAGTTACAGATCATCCCTGATAGAGCAGAGAGGGGTGACCAGGTAGTGACTTTATAGTCAGTGGAGGCAAAGCCCATTTTTGGACAGTTCATTGAGGGCTTACAGATAAAAGGTTCACAAATTATGCAGTGAGCTGGATGGAGTGTGAAGCGTATTTATGGGTCGTGCACATACATAATAGGTTTACTTTTTGAGATTTGAAAACATGTTTTAACCTTAACCTAGGATTCCCACCTGATTTAAACCTCTTATTTGTCTAATGTCAGCCAAAAATGTGAGTATGACATACAAAGAGAAATACATCAAGGACTTTTCATCCTCAAAGTTTGCCAGTGATGGTGGAGAGTGTCAGAATTGGTGAGTAGCCTAATCAAACTTTTTTGCTCTGCATGCAGTGGCAGACAGTCCCTTTGCTGTTCCTTTGGGACATGCAGACTATTAAAGTGCCACCATCATTTTATCTCTCAGTGAGCAGTAGTTTTAATGCTACTGCAGTGGTGGGCGCTCTGGGCGTTGTCATCCTCACCTGAGGACAAGCAGCTTTGTTTTGGATCATGTATCTGTTATTGTGATGGAGCCATTTATTTTTCAGGGAATGATGCCAAATGATGTTTGTCCCTTTGCTTTACATTTTTATAGCTAGGTCTTTGAAGCTGAACTGGAGGAACTTCTCAGCCAATACTGTCTTCTCAAACCAAAAGTTGACAGTTGCAGAAGACACGTTTTTTAGTGTCATGGCAACCAAGCAACATATTACCTTAAATTAAATTTAGAGGTTGAGCATCCCTAATCTGAAAATCTGAAATTTGAAATGCTTCAAAATCTGAAACTTTTTGAGCACTGACATGACACCACATGTGGATTTTGATGGATGTCCCAGTCAAAGTGCAGGTGAACAACACACAGTTTATTTGATGTTCTCTAGTGGAAAAAGACCCTCTCAGCCCCCTTCAGCTGCAGTATAACTTTTCTACACATGCTCAGATTTCCCCATGCAAGCACCCACACAAAGGGTCACAGAATGGCACATGTGCAAGCTGGACATGCCAATGGCAGGATCCCCACAGATGGGACCTAAGTGCATTACTCATTGTGTATTTTTGCTTATTCTCTGCTCTGTGGTGTTAACATACTGAAAATGTCAATAAGACCTGTAGGTATCCCTGCGAGCAGCAATGATAAGGAAAAGTAGAAACACTTAGAACACAGAAAGTCAAGCTGTTGGAGAAATTGGACTGTAGTGTAAAGGTATAGATGACATGGTGAAAATGTGTGATAGAGATATTGAAGATATTGAAGGACTAGAGCTACCTGCATTCATAACAGAACAAGAGGTCATGTCAGTTTATAAAATTAAAGAGAGACTTCCAAGACAAAAGCCCTTGATAATGAGGCAGATGACTCTGGAGAAACATTATAAAAAGCCATCTGGCAGAATGCCTCCTCAGCCTCAGAGGACTCACCTCCTAGTTGCTCAACTCCTGATATTTCTTCTCACCTAAAAAAAGAAAAAAAAAATACAATGTACAGTAACCTTTTAATCAAAACGCAGCCTTGTAGGTGGAGCCTGAAAGCTTGCCATTGTTTATACAGCTGTTTAACAGCTGATGCAGGTATTCTGGTGATGCTACTGTGTTGCTTATTATTTTTTACTGTATTAATGTCATGTCATATTTTTACTTATGTGTGAATAATTGTGTGAAAATGATTGCTCATCAGTAGCATATAAATTCAGAGTCAGAAATGATGGTCAGTGACATCAGACAGCCACAGATTTTCCACATGGAAGCTGAGATAGTGACACCTTTGCTTTCTGATGGTTCCATGTACACAAACTTTGTTTCATTCACAAAATTATTTGAAATATTATATAAAATTACCTTTAGGCTATGTGTATAAGATATATGAAACATAAGTGAATTTCACGTTTAGACTTGGATCTCATCGCCAAGATACCTCACGTAGATGCAAATATAAAATCCAAAAAAAAATTCCGAAACCCTAAACACTTCTGGTTCCAAACATTTCAGATAAGGGATACTCAATCTGCATATATAAAATATTTATGTATCACATACATAGTATGTATATAATATGAATTTCCATTCCTCTACAGGTTACTATTCTGGTACATTCCCATTATATTCTGTTTATCAGACTGCAACTAAAACTTTCATGGGTTCAGCTTTATGTTGAACAGAATTTGCAGAATTATGAGTTGAAGCAAACCCTAGTTTGATAATGCTATGATTCTCCTAAATCACCAAAGTGCATGAAATGATTTTAAGGCTCCAGAAATACTGAAGCAACTTTGTGATAAAAAATTATTAGTGGATGCACAAGGAGTCTATAATGTTTTGGTTTTGCTATTGCTTCCTAAGGTGCAGTACCAGTTTGAATTTGAATACCAGACCAAAGTGGATGGTGAGATAATCCTTCATCTTTATGACAAAGGAGGAATTGAGCAAACAATTTGTATGTTGGATGGTGTGTTTGCATTTCTTTTACTGGATTCTGCCAATAAGAAAGTGTCCCTGGACAGAGATACGTAAGGAGTCAGACCTTTGTTTAAAGCAGTGACAGAAGATGGATTTTTGGCTGTGCGTTCAGAAGCTAAAGGTAATAGTAAATTTATGTATAGATTTTCATTATTGTCTTGGTCGTGTGTTTTCTTTTAAATTATATCTGAAAATCTCTTAGCAATCCAGAATTTTACAAGTGACTAATTAAGTTGTGAGTTCTTACCTTTTTAAAAAAAACAGAGTAGTTTTACTCTCCTTTTCAGCACTTAAATTCCGTAATCCTTGAAGGATGGGTCTTTAGTGTAGTCATTTATTTTTGGTGTGCTAATATGCTCTGCATATAGCTTGATCATAAGTGCAGTTTTAAGTTTTCCTGTGTCATACTGTAATGATAGGGTTGGCTCTGCAATTATTGCCCTGCGGTGCTTTGCTGAAGTTATAGCACAGCAAATATTAGGATTTCTAAAACAGCTTTATTGGCAGTTCACATGCCATGTAATTCACCCACTCGAAGTATATAGTTCAGTGGTTTTTAGTATATTCACAGATGTTGGGAAACAACACTCCAATCAATTTTAGAATTGTTTTTCCACCTCAAAAAAAAATCCTATGCCCTTTAGCTTATTTTCTTTCTATTTATTTATTTATTTATTTTAAGAGATGGGGTCTTGCTCAGTCGACCAGCCCAGGCTGGAGTACAGTGGTGTAATCATAGCTTAGTGCAGCCTTGAACTCCTGGGCTCAAGCAATCCTCCCATCTCAGCCTCCCTAGTAGCTACGAGTACAGGCATGGACCACAACACCCTGCCTCCTGTGCCGTTTAGCTTTCAATTCTGTCTCTCTACATACATCATCTGCACCCCCGCAGTTGTAGCACTGGCAATCACCAATCTTTCTGCCTCTGGATTCCCTATTGCCTGTGTTTCATATAAATGGGATTATCTATCATATGGGCTTTTGTTACTGGATTCTTTCACTTGGCATAATGCTTGCAAGGTTTGTCTATGCTGTGACATGTATCAGTACTTACTTTTTATGGCCACATGATACTCTGTACATGGATACACTGGATTTTGTTTATGCACTTGTCAGTTGATGGATATTTAGGACATTGTTTACCCCTTTTGGCTATTATGAATAATGCTGCTATAAACATTGGTGTATAAGTTTTTGTGTAGACATTTGTCTTCGGTGTTTATCTAGGAGCAGAATTGCTCAGATGTATATAACTGTCTAATTGAGGAACTGCCAAACTACTTTTTGAAATGGCTGCATTATTTTTTATTCCCTCCAGCAGTGTATTAAAATTTAAGTTTCTCCACATCTTCACAAACACTTACTGTGTGACTTTTTAATTGTAGCTATTATAATGTATGTGAAATTGTATCTCCTTGTGGTTTTGATTTGTATTTTCCTATTGAAGGTAATGTCCAGTGTCTTTTCTCATGCTTATTGGCCATGTGTATATCTTCTTTGGGGAAATATTTGTTGAGATCTTTTGTCATTTTTTTTTCCTGCTAGGGATCATTTTATTTTAAAAACAATAGACTTTTTTTTAGCAGTTTTAGAAAAAATAGAGAGAAAAGTGCAGAGAGTCCACATATGCTCCCCTACAGTGCCCCCGCCCAGTTTTCCCAACTCTTAACACCTTGCACTACTGTGCTAAATTGATTAGATTTGATGAACTGATACTTATATCTGAAATTCATAGTTTACTTCAGGGTTCACTCTGTGTTTTATAGATTTTTGGATTTGACAAATGTATAATGTCATGTACCCACCATTATAGTATTATGTAGAACAGTTTCATTGCCCTAAAAATCTCCTGTGCTCCACTGAGTCATTCCTCCACCTCCTCTTCCTCCCAAACCCCCGGTCATTACTAATCTTTTTACTCTCTAATTTTGCCTCTCCCAGAATGTCATATAATAGATCATGTAGTATGTATCCTTTTCAGACTGGCTTCTTTCACCCAGCAGTATACATTTAGGGTTCTTCTGTGCTTTTTCATGGCTTGATAGCTCATTTTTTAAATTGCAGAATAATATTCCATTTGTTTGCATGTATTGCAGTTTGTTTATCCATTCTTGAATTATCTATCTCTAATTGGGTTGTTTTGTCTTTTTATTACAGAATTGTAATTGTTCCTTATGTATGCCAGACACAAATCCCTTGTGTTCATCAGGGTTGCAGGATTCAAGATCAATATACAAAAATCAATAGTATTTGACACACTTTAACTGAATACTACATACTCACAATGAGCAATCAGAAAATGAAATTAAGAAAGCAACTTCATTTATCATAGCATCAACAAGAATAAAATACTAATAAATTTAAGAAGTGTAAAACTTGTACTCTGAAAACTATAAAACATTGTTGAAAGAAATGAAAGAAGATCTAAATAAATGTAAAAGTATCCCATGATCATGAACCTAAGGCTTAACATTGTTAAGAAGGCAGTACTCCCTAAACTCATCTACAGATTTAACTTCATCCCTGTCAGAATCCCAGATGAGTTCTCTGTAAAATCGACAAGCTGACTCTGAAATTCATATGGAATTGCAAGGGACTAAGAATAGCCAAAATAATCTTTTGAAAATGAGAAACAAAGTAGAAGAACTCATACTTACTGACTTTAAAACTTACTACAAGACAATGGTAATCAGGACAATATAATACTAGCAGAAGGATAGATGTATAGACCAGTGGGATAGAATTGAGAGTCAGATATGAACCCGTACATATATAACCACTGCTTTTGACAAGAGTGCCAAGATTATTCAGTGGGGAAAGAAGTTTGAGAACTGGCACAAGGACAACTAGATATGTAAACATATGCAAAACCTGGAGTAGGACCTTTACCCAACACCATATACAAAAACTATGGGTGCAAAGTAATTGGATCAAATGGATCCATTTTGAGCTAATCCACATAAATGTAAGGACTAAAACTATAAAATCCTGAGAAGCAAACATAGAAGTAAATTGTCATGACCTTGAATTTGGCAAAGTTTTCTTAAATATGAGACCAGCAACAAGAATAAAAATTGATGAACTGGACTTCATCAAAATTAAACATTTTTGCACTTCAAAGGACACCATCAAGAAAGTGAAAAGACAACTCACAAGATGGAAGAAAATACTTGTAAATCATGTGTAGCACTTTTTGATGATAAACTTGAGGAAGACTTTTTTATTTCTTATTTTTATTATACTTTAAGTTCTAGGGTACATGTGCACAATGTGCAGGTTTGTTACATATGTATACATGTGCCATGTTGGTGTGCCGCACCCATTATCTCATCATTTACATTAGGTATATCTCCTAATGCTATCCCTCCTCCCTCCCCCCACCCCACGACAGGCCCCGGTGTGTGATGTTCCCCATCCTGTGTCCGAGTGTTCTCATTGTTCAATTTCCACCTATGAATGAGAACATGTGGTGTTTGGTTTTCTGTCCTTGCGATAGTTTGCTCAGAATGATGGTTTCCATATATATATATATAGTCAGTTGCTAGGACTGCTGGGCAAGCCTGGGAAAGAGAGTACCTGGGGAAAGCAGCCTCCTGCTCCCCCGTGCCTTCTTTGAGCCTGATGTTCATTTGATGTGGTACTATATAATCACATCCAGTTTACCCTTTGAAATTCCTTGATTTTTCTTTTCTATATCCTTGACACTGTCCTTTTACAGACCACATAATCTTATCTGGAATACTACAACAGTTTTCTTTTCTCAGTGCTTTTAGAATAACCTGTCAAAAACTCATCTGACTATAGTAGTACCTGCTTACAACCTTTTAATTACTCCCCATTCCCTACCAGGCTGTGTAACTCACTTGAGCTCTGCTAGGTGGTGAGGGAATCTGGGTCCTTTTTCTGGTATTTGAATTCAGTGCTACGTAGGTTACTGGCTGGGTTGACAATCTCAAATTGTAAATCATGAGTATATATGTAGATAGTCTGTCACGATTTACAATAAAACATTGACATGTCAGAGATCATGGTGATGTGAGGTTGGGTACTGTCTGTGAGAATTAATTGAGGAAATTTAAATTATATGGTTTTATTTACATAGAGTGTATAACAACTAGTTAAGGGATAGATGTCTTCTTATCTGACTTTCAAGTATCTAAGAGTGGATTATTGTGCTTGTTAAAGTTCTGGGAACCATGGATATTTTCTGAAAATACCTCAGTGATGAGAAATGAATGACTACCAGCCTCTCATAACATTAGGACTCCAGTTCATCCCTTTGCTTCATAAGTGTGTCTTTTCCTTTTGTATATATTTGCTTTAGTGTAGAAAATAGGTTTTCTTGATTAGAAATCTAAAAAGAATAAATTGAAAACTGGAGATTTTTCTATTGCTTTGGATTACCAAAATTAATGTAATTTGGCAGTATATCCCTGTGCCATTATTGTCTCTCTGGTAAGTAGATGGTAGGGTTTTGGGTGATTAAATTTTTTTTTTCCTATTTTGCTTATTTAATGGGCATGTGTTTGTATTAAAAAGGGGAAAATACATAGGAATGTAGAAGATGTTAACTAATCGTGAAAGTTATTGGGAAGGGTTACCTAATTTAAAAGTTGGCCAGCCATGGCAACACTGTCTGTAGTCCCAGCTGTGGGGGAGGCTGAGGCAAGAGGATGGCTTGAGTTTAGAGGATGGAGGTTACAGTGAGCTATGATTGTGCCACTGTACTTCAGCCTGAGGGACAGAGCCAGACCCTGTCTCAGAAAAACCTAGAACAACAACAAACAGAGAGAGGAGCCTGGACGAATTGAGCAATATTAGTGTCCAGGAGCTGCTGTAGTGATGGCTTACAACATCAGGAATTTATTCTCTCACAGTTCTGGAGGCCACAAGTCCAAAATCAAGGTGTGGGCAGAAATGCACTCCCTCTGCAGACTCTTGGGGAGGATTCTTGTTTCTTCCAGCTCTGCGACTGTGGTGCCTGCAGCCATTGGAACCAGCTCTGCACGGCTCAGACCTGGGTGATGAGGACACAGCTTTGCAGGTGGGCAGCCACATCCCCAAGGGGAGACTGTGGGCCTGTGACAGGATAGGGGCAAGCAGGGCAGGGGCTCCCCATTGTTGCTCCTGAGCTCCTGGGGCTCGTGGAGAAAGACAGGTGGATGCGCACATACTGCAGCTCCCTGGATCTGAGCCTTGGTTTCCTTACCTGTGAAATGGGCACCCAAGGCAGCTCAGAAGTGTCTGGGAGCATCCCCTGTGGGGGAAGGTGTGGGGGGCTGCTGGGCCACAGTCATGGGGAACCCCAGTCCCCCTCTCCATGTGCTTCCTTCAATGCTCCCTGATGCCAGAAGACCTGCCCCTGAACAGAGAAGGGCATTCTTGTGAGATCCTTGTGTGGGGGTTTGGTCACAGAGACTCCCCAAGTGCAGGGCAGGGTGGAGGGAGGCTGAAGGGTGGTTGAATGGACAGGAGAAGAGCTCTCTCCAGTCCCTAGGGTCTGGGTGGCCTGGGGAGCATCCATTTGGGCAGGCAGCTGGCAGGGCTGGTGGCTGAGCCACTGTGGCTCGGGGACCCCAGGTGTCTCCTGGACAGAAAGAGCCCTGGTCACTCATGGCTGCAGCATAGCCATGGCGACAGGAAAGTGCTGCTGTACATTGTGCTCCTGGGGCTGGCTCCCAATGGACACCCAATGGTATCTCCCCCACTGTAATCTGGGATGCTGGCAGGGGTGATGGGCACTGGGGTAAGAGCCTTGGCAAGCCCTTCGCTCCCTGGGTGTGAGACCTTGGGCTCCTGGATGCCTGGGTTTCTGTGTCCTATTTTTCCCATGGAAGATGTTTGGGGTGCTCCCACGAAATGGGGAGGGCCCTGGGGGGTCAGGATTGTATTATTAAAGCCAGAAAGTCTGGGGTTCCATTTTTAGCACAAGGCAGGCAGCCCATGAGCCACAGCCCAGTGGCCAGCCTGTGTGGGAGGGGAGTGGGGGTCTGAAGGAGTGAGGATCCTGTTACCGCAGGCTCCACTGCAGCCCTCCAGGGTGGCCGTGTGGGCTGGACAGTGGGCACTGCACCAGGGGCACTGGCGCCGACCTTGAGCCATGCATCTGATGCCTGTGAGAGTGATCTCTAGGAGCCACTGCACAGGGGGCAGATGAGGGAACCCCGACATGGGACAGCCGAGGGCGACCCCAACACGGAGGGGGCAGCTGTGTCCAGGCTCCACTGGATTCCACAGAGGACAGAACACAGCTCTGACTCTAGGATGTGGGCTCACTGAGGGTCAGGACAGGCTGGGGTTGGGAGAGGGCTATGCTGCAGCTGGGCCACATCCCACCTGCACCCCTCAGATGGCAGGGCCTGGATGTCTCCATCCCCACCCTGACCCGGTCAGTAACAGCCACAGGCCAGCAGCCCCCAGCAACCGCTCCCTCCCTGAACTGCCGGGGACAGGAGGTACCATAGTCTCTTCTAGGCAAGAGCTGCTGGAGCCTTCTTTATTCTTGTGCTAGAAGCCCAGGGTGGGGAGAGGAGCCTGAGAACAGCCCAGTGTGGGCATCCACCTTCCTGCCCACTTTGGAGGTCTGAATCACCTCCGGCCACTCTCCCAATCCCCAGGAGCCAAGAGGCTTCCTGGAGCAAGCCACACCTGATCTCCACCATGGGTAGGAGTTCAAGGCCAGGCCAACGGGGACTCCACAGAGGGGCCTGTGGGTTAGCTGCAGCTGCCAGTGTCCAGATGGCCTCAGGGGTGGGGGTTGGACAATCTGGAGGTCAGCAGGGAATTCAGCATGAGGAGACAGCCCTTAGGGCTCTGGCCCAGCAGCCCCAGGTGCTGGCTCTGCACTGAGTCATGAAGTTTGTGGGCCAGGGGCGTTGGCCTCTCTCTAGCTGGGAGTGACTTCCATCACTGCTGTCATTAGCCTCCCCTGCATCAACCTGTCCCTGGGGTGGGAGCACAGTGGGCGCAGGGACCGTCAAGCCTCAGTTTTCCCTGCTGTAAAATGCATGTGATAGTGAGGCGGTCATGAGGCCTGAAGGAGTTAAAACCTGCCATGTGATCAGGATGGCACCTAGCTCGGTGCCTCCTAGCCTGGTGCCACCATCCGGCATCAGAGATGAAATACGTCTCCCAGGCCCCCTCCCCTGGCATCCTCCACACTCAGCTCTCCATCAGCCACACCCTCCAGGGTGGGACAAGGAGGTCCTGAGACTGATGGGGACCCGACAGGGCTGGGCAGCACCACCTGGGCCTAGGCGATAATGGGAGCCTGAGTGTGGGGCCTGCAGGGAGGGAGCCATTGTTTCTTGGGCTTCTTAGTGGCTACTTCCCTAAAGTCTGGGAGAAGTACTGCTGCTCAAGAGGGGACAGTGCCAGCAGCTCCCTCTGAGGCTGGGGTGGGCACAGCATAGGGGGTCCTCACCCCCACCCACCTCCCATGGAGGTTCCTGGCTCTCTTGGAGGACTCCTCGCTACTGTGCTGAGGCTGGCACCAGGGCTGACCAGGCCCAGGATGGTGTTGGACCACCTGCATCCCCCTGCAGCAGGCAGGGAGGGCACTGCAGACACCACCCTCCCACAGCTGACCCCTCCCTGGCCATCGTGTCTAGGGTGGCAGGGTGTGAAGCCCCCACCCAACAACCTCCCCCAGCTCAGGGGCCTTTGAGTTCACCACCATCTGCCTCACTGCAGGTTTTCCCTGTGCTGGGTGGGGGTGATTGCAGGGAGATGGTTCTTTGGTATTCCCTGGGCAGGTCATTGCCTCAGCCCCTGCCTGGTGTCCTGGAACAGCTTTGAGGAGCTACATGGACAGGACACCAACTGTCTGCAGCCCCCAGGTGAGACTTGGCTGCTGTGTCCCACTGCCTCTGCTCCTGGCTGTCAAAGCCCCATGGTAACAGCATCCAGGGCGAATTTAAATGGCACCCCAAAGAATAAGAGTGGGCCTGGGTGTCACTGTAGTGACTGGTGGCTTGTGACAAGTAGTGTGGCTTCCGTGGTGATGGGAAACGACAGTTCCCCCTGAATCTGCACTGGAGAGAAGGTCCTGGAAGCTTTCGGGCCCACCCTCCAGGGTCTGTGTCTGCATCTCTGAGAGTGGCCGGGTGGGAAGAAGAATCCTCACTGCCTGGCAGTCGGGTTTGGAGCTGGGGAGGGCCGGGCCTGGTTAGCAACGAGCCTATCACAGTGAACCAGAGCTCAAGATAAAGCGAGAGGCCTAGCCCAGACACCTCCTTCCCTGGTCCCAGCCCCTGTGCCTTGGCCTGTGCGGTGGAAGCCAGGCTCCCTCCTCCAGGAAGTCTTCCCTGCACTGCCTGCTCACACACAGCCTCTCCCAGATTTCTCCCCATCCAGGCTGAGTAGGATTCCCAAGAAGGCTCCTCCCCGAGCCAACTGCCTGCAGTCAACATTATCACCTCCCCCAGTGAACGGCAGTAGTGTTTTTCGTCTTCAGCAGTGGCCTCTGGAGGGGTCCTAGCAGGTCGGGGAGAGAGGTCTGAGTTAGCCCCACGTGAAAGGCAGCCCATGCCTCTCCTCCCAGCAACCCCCAGCAGCAACTTCCACCTGGCTGACCCCACCCAGCTCACAGAGCTGCCCAGCTGGGTGTCCTTGTGGTTGATTGGGGGGAAGGGGCTGTTACCTCCCGGTCCCCTCCAGGCTGAGACAAGAGCCCTGTGGGCCTGGATCTTGCAGATGGGACCCCCACCCACATGCTCTCCAGGTGGATGCCCACCCTGGGCTGTTCTCAGGCCCCTCTCCCCACACTAGGCCCACACCCAGAAGGGAACTCCATGTACCCCTGCCGATCTGCCCATCTGCCCATCTGAGCCTCAGGGGTCCTGGGCACTGAGAGCTGGGCTGGGCTGAGCTCAGGTACACACTGTCATTGGGGACAGAGAGGGGATGCTGAAGTGGGTGCTTCTGCGTGGGGCCTGCCTGGAGGATCGCCACGGCAAGTGCACCCAGCAGCCAGACCAGCTTCTAGCAGAATAAGCGCACTGTCACAGGGGTATGTGAGCTGAGGCTGGGGGCCTGGAGGTGCAGGGGGAGGAGTTGGGGAGATGCAGAGGCCGCAAAGATGTCCCAAGGCCCTAAGACTCTGGTGAGGGAATGGAGGAGCCAGCACTGGTGGGGAACTGGGGAGGGGGAGCTGGGTGGCCTGGCTCTGAGCGGGACACACGGTCTGCGCCCACACTTGAGCTGTGCTGTGGAGCCCCAGTCCCCACCTGGGCATGTCCTGTCCTCTGAAGCACAGGGATTCCTCGTCGTCAGCTCTGACCCCTCTTCTCCAACTGTTGGGATGACGAGTCCATAGGCAGAGCCAGCCTCACAGGGGACCCAAAGGCCAGTTCAGATGGACAGCAACTGGAGGTCCCACCGGGCACACACACACACTGTGCAGAAAGCTAATGCACTGTTTATTTGGGGGATTGGGGGGAAGCACCGTGCCGCTGCTCACTGGTAGCCAGCCAGCTGCAGGATGGGGGTGTAGCAAGTACGATGGGCCATGCACTTCTGGCGGTCGATGAAGAGACTGTTGGTCATGGCGGTAACATCCTTCTCCAGGCTCATGTGGATGTCCTCGAGGTTGCAAAGGGACTGCTCCCCTTCTAGAAGCTTCTCCCACAGCGCTGTGATGGACATGTTCAGCTCCTCCACCTCACTCACCAGCTTGGGGGTGTTGGGTGTGTGAGCTGGGGCTGGGGAGGGCAGAAGTATGCACCTACCGGGGTGCAGGGGACCCAAAACTCCCAATGGGAGCTGGCAGGAGGTCCTGGGAAGACGCCATGAAAGGATCCCACCAGGAAAGCGGCTCTAGGGCAGAGCATAAATTACGAGGGTCCTCCCAGGGAGCGCGGGCCTCAGTGGGAATGAGTGACCCGCGTGCAATCTCGACCCTGACAGGACAGGACTGGCCTCAGCCGACCAGGCTCAGTTCTTTTCATTCCTGATATTTGACGGAAGGAGGCACCCAGTTCCTTGAAGGAACTGAGGGGCAGGGAAGGAAGAAAGGTACTTAGGCTCAGAAGGGGCCACCAGGCATCCGTTAACAAGGGAAACAAAAGGACGGCCCATCTATGCCTGTAGCCCAGGCGTAGGTCATACTTTCCACCAGAGGTGGGGACAGCACCCTCAAGGCAGCAGGGAATGGCCCTCTCTGGCCTCTCTGTCCCCGTGGCCTCCAGGAGCTCACCTTGTCTGAAGGAGCTTCCTCCCGGGAAGATGAGGTAGCACAGGGTGGGGTGAGACCACGTGGGCACAGGTCCCTGGCACTGGGAGGCCCCCGACCCATGACCTGCCCAGTGTCATGTCTATATCTGTGTGTTTAAGGCGTGCTTGCGTGTTGTGTGTGGCCGCAAACTCTCCCTCCCCTCTCAGCACCTGTGGGGGATGTGTGTGTGGAGATTGGAGTGTTTATTGGAGAGGGTCACAGCGAGGAGGTGGACGGGGGCACCTGGGACTGCCTCAGAGGCCCAGGCAGTACCTGAACTGGGCTGCTTCGCGGCACAGCTGCATGTTGGGCCGGTGTGAGAGCAGGTACAGCCGGGTCTGGGCTATGTGCAGAGGTTCCTCCTTGTCCTTGATGGCCTCCTTCAGTGCCACCACGTTGTGTTCCTGATCTGTGATTTCCCGCAGCATCTGCAGACAGGACAGTGCCCCTTGGGCCTGTGCCCCCATGCCCGGGCATATGGAATGTGGAGACCAGTCTGGTCCTACCCAGCTCCTGGGGCTGTGTCCAGAGGGTGGTCCTGACCAGTGGCTCTGGGGAGGCGTGGATGAGGGGAACAATGTGCACAGGGCCCCCAGCGGGCTCTGGAGAGTCAGGCAGCCTGTTGTCTCTTAGCTCTGGTCCAAGAACCCCCATCCTTGGTGGTCACCAGGACCCAAATCCTGCTCAAGGACTGGGGACTCAGAGGTGGTAAAGGCCATGCTGAGGCCCTAGAGTCAGAGCCCTGCCTGCCAGGCCAGGACTCTTGGGGACCTCCCAGGCAGTCAATGCTCCCCAGACCAGCTCCTGCCTCCATCCTCCCCACAGCTCCTCCTGCTCAGTCATGGGGGTTGCAACACACTGCGATCATACCCAGTGTCACCTGGTTTTACATAGGTTTACGGAGAGGTGACACTTGCTTCTGGGGTCCCTCGGGATAAGTGGGACAGAGGAGAAAGGTGTTGAGGGCCCAGGCCAGGTGATGAGAGGGGGCAGAGTGGTGGGCAGGCGCCGGAGCCGTCTTCGGGGTTCAGGGTGCCCCACCTTGTGCAGGTGGTGCTGCAGCTTGTGCCGCACGTCCTCCAGTTCCTCACAGCGGCGCCCGAAGGCCAGGTTCACGGCGTCACACTGGAGTCCCAGGTCCTCGGAGGTGTCGCGAAGGATGCAGTCCACAAGCACCCACAGGTTGGCCGAGTCCAGGCGCTCGCGCTGGGCGTGGCACAGATTGTCCTGTGTGAACTTGGTCCGGGTCTCTGGGGTGGAGGCGCTGCGGGGCTGGGGACAGCCAGGAGAGGGTCAGGGAGGCTCTGCCAATGGCTGGGGGCCCTGCCGCGCCCCCATTCCCTGTCTGCACCCCATGCTCCTGGAGGAACTGCATGGACTCCAATGCACCCCGTGCAGACCCACGAAGCCCAGTCCCCCAAGCTCCCTGCCTCCGAGTGCCCCCCGCCCACAACTCCCCTGAGTCCACCCACACCCTACCCACCCCGGGCACTTAGTCCCCTCCTGCCCCCGCGACCCCGTTCCCAGCACCGCTGCCCCCGAGGCCCCCTCTGCAGCACCTCTGTCTCCCGCAGCCCCCCTTCCCTAGTACCCAGCGCCCGCGTCCGCTTCTCGCACCCAGGAGTTTGCCATGCTCAAGTGGGCGGTGGTCGTGCTCCCTCTGCTGGCCTTGGGTGGAAATGCAATCCTGCCGGCGCCTGGGACTGACCGCATCCCACCCTGTCCTGTCTACGGGCAACCAGGCTGTGCACGCGCTGGGCACTTGAGGAGGTCTTGCACGCTTTCTCATGCCAGGGCAAACAGTTGCCCAAGTGCCCTCGGGGGCGAGGGCCTCTGGGCCAGGCTGGGGGAAGCAGCGCCGCTGGGGCCCCCAGGCAGAGGGAGGCGAGACCACAGCCAGGGCAAGCACGGGGACAGAGCTGGGGCCCCCATCTCTTGGAAGGTGGTGGAGTGCCGGATGAGCCTGCACCTCGGTGCTCTGGCTGTGGTGGCGCCCGCAAGTCTCGTCGAGGTTGTAGGCCTCCACCTTGTCCGACCAGTCCATCTCGCAGATCTCTGTGTGCTCTCGGTTCATTCTGGGGCGGGGTGGGGCAGGGCCTTGGTGTGTGGCCAGGGAGGGCCCCACTGGGGACCCTCCATGCTGCAGGCTAGGCCTTCATGCCCGCTTCAGGAGGGAGCTCTGGGCCGGCTGTCCTTGTGCTCAGCAGTGACGAAGAGCTGCCGCCCATGCTGGGAGGCTGCAGATCAGTTGTGGCACTGGGCTTTGGCCATTCAAACTCAGGCTGGGCTGGAACCTCCCCCACCCAGCCCTGTGCTTCCACTGTGACCTGGGACAGCCCCTGCCGGCTCTGAGCTTCAGGGTTCTGTCGTTCAATGCCTTGCCCCAGGACCAGCCGTGGGTGGGGTCAGGAGTCATCCCTTGGGCAGCCCTCGACCCAAGGGTCTGGCTCACTGCTTGCACGATGGCTCTCTTCAGCAGCTCCTGAATGTTCCGGATGGGCTCAGCTTCCTGAGGGAGGAGACGCCCTGAGCACCAGATCCGGTCCTTGGTGAGGATCCCAGGAGGCCCAGCTGCTGAAGGCCTTGGTCAACACCTGAGCAACCAGAAATAGTTGAATGCCGGGCCTGAGCTCTGACTGTGCAAGTTCTGCTCTCTCACTGGGTTTATCCTGGGCTTTTGGGCATTCTCCTTGGTGCGTTGTAAGTGGGTTGTTTTCCTCCAGGGCCTTCTATGGGCTGCTGGGAAGGTCCCTCAGTGGCAGTTCCCACGCCCCAGGCCTCAAGAGTCATCACTGCTGCTCACTCAGTGCACCCAGGAATGTTGGCCTGCCCCTGGCCTCTGGACAGCCCCCAAGGACCCAAACTCTGGGGGCCCAGATGCCCGCCCAGGCTGCCCCTCAGGGCTCTGTGTTGGGAAAGACCATCCTCACACCAAGAACAGGAGGAAGACCCTATGTTTCTTATTACTGCCTGGACAGTTTAATTTTCTGTGTGTAGGAACAAGCCTTTTTTCCCTGTGATTGTGGTCTTTGCTTCGACCACCAGCTACCTCCTTGTGTGCCAGGGCCCGAGTCCTGCACCCCTCTGTCCCTGGGTTTGCCTCTTCCTGCACTGTCAGTGTCTCCATCACTTCGCAGGCACCCTTGTTGCAGGCAGAGGGTTTGCGGGAGCTGCAGCAGTTCTTGAGGCACTGAGAGGGTGCAGGGGGATAGGCCTGCAGAAGGGGAAGGGAGGGAGGAGGGAAGGCATGAAGGGAGGGAGGGACTCAAGGGTTCTTGCCTGAGTTTGGGGGTATGGCAGGAGACCAGCTGCCTCCACCCCACATCTTTCACAAATGTCTACAGGCCTGTAGTGGTTCTCACGGAGGCCCCAGGCTCTGAGAGCTCAGGGAATTCTCCAGAGCCAGCATCAGGGCCAGGACTGAGTTACTCTCTCACCCTATGGGGTTGCCCCATAGACAAGCTGGGCTGGATTGGAAAGTTACAGGTGACAAGGAGAAGGGGACCTGTGGGTGCAGATCTTCGTGTCCCCGGCTCTGTATAGGATGAATGGGAGCAGTGGCTCCCAGCCTATCCCGCCCTACCTGTCCACACCCGCAGTGCTGGCCCAGACCTGGGTTTCCACCTCGGGAGCAACTGTCCCAATCAGGGAGGGTCTCTGGGGAGCCCAGGGTCAGGATGACTGTGCCAGGACTCAAAGGTATTGGAGGAGGAGAGGAGAAACAGCTGCTTGGAAGTCAGGGGCCTTCTGGGGCAAAACTGCCTCCTGTCACTAAGGGGCCAGATTTCGGGACTCAGGTGTCTCACGCATAGAGGGCTGGTCTCCCGTGTGCTTGCAGCAGCCACGTGGCTTGTCCACATGAACTGCCGGGGGCTCCTCCTCTCTGTGCCCACAAGTCCTGGCCACCCAAGGCTGCTGGCACCTTCAGCAGCTCCGTCTCCACATGGTCATGCACAAGGTTGGCGTGCTGGTGGCACTGGCTGCACTGCAGGTTGTCAGTGGCAATGGAGAAGGGCACCTCCATGGCATCCAGGGCGCACTCCAGCCGTTGCTTCTGGGCCAGCAGCAGGTCGGTCTCCGCAGCCAGCACCTTCACCTCGCGCTGCAGCTCCGACTTCCAGCTGTGCGTGTCCTGCAGTCGCTCGCCCACCCTGCACGTGGAGTCTTGCTGTGTCGACTGTGCCAGCGCCTGGGTCTCTGCGGCCAGCTGCTGGCTCTCGTGCCCCTGCAGCTCCCGCTCTGACTGGTTGCAGTCGGCGAAGGCCTGGTGGTAGCGAGCATAGCAGTTCTGGAACCACACCTCCAGCTGGCGGTGGCCAGGCCGGAGGACGTGTAGACGCCCGTGTTGCGGGCCATGTCATACTCTTTGCAGGGCAGCTCGCAGGGCGACACTGTCTGCGGTGCCGGCTCTGGTAGGAGCACATCCGTCTGCACCATGGTGTCTGCCGCCCACCAGGGCCAGGGGAGTGAGGAGTGTGTGTGGTCAGCTTGTTGCGGTCAGCCCAGTGCAGTCATCGGTCGGCTCCAAAGGCTCAGTCCCAGAGCAGGACGTGGCTCCCAGTCGCTTGGGTGACACAGTAAACCAAGAGCTTCCTGTTGCCAAGAAACGGGATCTCTTCTCCAGTGGCTAGGGGAGGGGGCATTCAGGGCGGCGGGCAGAATTGCCCTTTTAAAGGGCCAGGCAGCCCCAGCCCCACCATCCCTGTCCCCACCTCGGGGCAATCAACAGTGGCCAAGGGTTCCTGTCACTTAGAGGATCCCAGGGCCAGCCCGTCTCCAGCCTCTGTGTCCCACCCTTAGGGTTCAGGGTGTGGGTGGGGACCTACTGCCCTGGCCCCTTCGTTGATTCATCCATTTGTTCCTGGTTTGCTCTCTGATCCTGTCCTGTGTGGAGCTCCACGCTCAGGGTGAACAAGACAGAGGAGGCTCTGCCCACCTGCCCCCTCAGGGCAGAGGGCTGTGGCTGTTGTGTGGATGTTGGGTGTGCTGAGTGATAGTGTTACTTGATGCCGTACAGGTGGCTGCTCTCCCTGCCCTCCTGGCCCCAACAGCAGCCTGGTAGCACAGGGAGGGTCCCAGGCCAGGCCCCCTCAGGGGCAGTCTGGGGCAGTTCCTGCAGGGACTCCGCTCCATTTTCTCCTGGACCTAGTGCCTGAGAGCCAGGCCCTGGCCTCTGGCCTTCTCCTCCCAAGTCCCAGCCAGTGTCCCCTCAGGCTGGGCACAGCGGGGAGGGAGGGAGTCTGAGTGTGCTTTTCCCTGGGGAGTTGAATTCAGCCTCTGGATAAGTGTCCAGAGTCATATGCCCAAATCTGCCCCACAGGGCAGAGGCAGGTCTTGTGCTGCGGAGGCTGCCCTGAAAGCCACCCAGGGCCATGCTGCCTGGCGGAGGCTGGATGGGCAGTAAGCACCCCAGGACACATCGGCGTCCCCCAAACCTGGGGCCAGGGGAGCCCCAGCCTAGGCGCGATTCCCCACGCAGCCAGCGAAGGGCGGCTTTGGCCTGGCGGTGAGAAGCCTGCGGCTCCTGGCTCGGCCTCCCCTCCGCCTGCCTGGCGCATGCACTCCTGGGGACCCCAGCCCCTCCGGCCTCCTCTTCCCTGAGAATCCCGCACCAGAAAGTCCTCGCTAGGAAGTCCATGCCGTTCCTACAGCACAGGCCCCTGGGCCCCTGCTCCTTCCACCTTCACCTCCTCTCCCACCACAGCCCGCACCCTCACTCCAGCCACAGGAGCCGGGGCTCCTCCTGGGCCATTCCCACCACGCTGCCCAGGTCTCTCCAGCACAACCATGTGCCGGCCAGTGCCCTCCTCCTGGACCTGACCTTCCCCGGTCCTGACCTCTCCCGTGGCCAGAACCCTCAGTCCATGCTGCTGTCACCACGGTGCGCCTGGCCTGACACAGCCTCCTGATGGGGCTTTGAGGACAGCAGCCGGGAGACTTACCCCAACCCAGGCCGAGCCAGAACCTATTGCAGGTGGCCTGGGAACCTCTTCTCACTGTCCGTCAAGATTGGGAGGCCAGCGGACCTTCAGGGACTGGTGTGGTCTGAGAAACATCCTTGAGCCTCGCCATGACTCAGTTTCCCCAGATGGCAGCAGGCTGGAGCCCATGCAGGGCAGGATGCCAGGCTCCACCTTTTGTCTGGAACCTGCATTCACTGGGCACCTCTCTGTAGGCATAGCAGAGCAGAGTTCCCTGTTTCTGTCCCTGATCTGCAGCCCCAGGAGCCCGAGAGACCACCTAAGCCAAGGAGAAGGCCTCTGGGCCAGAGCCCAGCTCTGCGAAGTGGGAGACCTCTCAGCCTCCACTTCCAAGTGCCCTGAAGTCGTTGGCAGGGGGTGCTGCCTACTTGGGGCTCCCAGACTAAGGGAACACATTCACCTGGTGACCACAATAGGCCCTGCAGGCTGAGGCACAGGATTTAATCAAGGACGCATCAGAGTTAGGGGACTGGGCCCTGACTCCTGCCAGCTGCAAACTCCCAAAGCCCCCAGCCCTCTCATGGGGTGAAGACACCCTGAAGGACACTCCAGTGTGCTCCCACCTCTGGGTTCTGCCAGCCAGAGAGTGGGACTCTCAGGCCACATGTGTCTTGCTGGATCTCAGCTTCAGGGACCCAGGGTGCTGGCAGCTCTCTGAGACCTGGGTCAGGGGGTGTCCATTAGAGCACCTTGGTCAGGACCCAGAGATAGGGAGGGCAGGGCTAAGAGCACCCCAGGCAGTTGGCATCTCCAGAAAGCAGGAGGTAGGGCATGGCTCTGTGACAGATGTCTCATGACAGGGGGGATTGGAGGGACAGAGGGACGTGCTCAGGGGCTGAGGGGCAGACGAGGCTACCAAAGGGCACCTTGGACACTGGATGGCCGCAGGAAGGCCCCTGAACCCCATCCTGATTGATCCAGGGCCAGTGACCTTGGCCCAGACTGCAGGCCTGGGGACTCAGGTTCCTTTAGTTTCTTAAGAAACTACTATACTACTTTTTGGCATAGCTGTACGATTTTACATTCCCACCAGTCATGTGTGAAAGCTCCAGTTTTTACTCATGCTCCCCAGAGTTTGATGTTTTATTTTTATTTTAGCTATTCTGATATATATGTGTTAGTCATTGTGGTCTTAATTTGCAAATTTCTAATGACTAATGATATTTAACATCTTTTCCTGTTCATAATTAAATACCATCTGTATTCCTTTTCACATATCATTAGCACAAATGTGAAATATCAGAACAAAATTTTTCACACAACTTCAAAATTTTTAGAGCAATACTCAAGGGAAAAGGTGTTTATTTAGAACAATGAAAACAATGAGACATTAACTTCCAGCTTAAATAAAGTTGATTGTGTGCATAAAAATGGTGAAAATATTGGACTTTCTTGGCAAAAGAAGAAAGGGGAAGACTTTATATTTTCTGACGTAATATTCATCATTTGTCTTTGGTTTGTGTATTATGTGTATGATTTTGAAAAAATGCATCAAAGATATAACTTTCTGGTGTTTGCTTTGATATTATCCTTGCAAACAGAAAAGTTGGCACATGTTTCTGTATAAAACTGGTCAAAGTTGGCCTAGGAATGATCTTACATTGTACTTTCACTTTACATCATACTGTAAGAGTTTAATAATAGCTAAGGCATCAGCATTGATGTGGACTTATTATACCTATTCAAGAGGTGGTGTGAGGTTTAGGAGAGTTATGTGCCCTTTATCATAAAACAAATCTATGAAGCATTTATATAAAAACCCAGTATTTCTGGTTTCAAATTCAGTACTGTGCCGTCTGCTTGATAGATTTGTTCGCAGGTTAGAGACATTTTATTGCATAACTTCCATGAAATATCACAGTTGTACTCTTGACTATGTTTGAATCACAAAAGACTTTAATCTGCACTCAGTTCTTGTAACTAAAATCTTCAGTTTTAATATGAATTTCACTTAAAGAACATCCCTAGAAATTTCAGAGAGAAAAAGACTTTACTTGCAGAATACAATCTGCATTTGCTTTGACAACTAGTTAGTTCACATATGTAAAACAAGTCTACCTGTCTGTATGCATAATTAAGATGTAACAGTAGTGTGGTAATGACTTGTTAAAGCAATTAGAATGGCAGTGGATCATGGCACAATTTACCTTAAAAGCCATGAGCAGAATACATCACAAGCTATGATACAATGAATAGTCGTTAGGTTTAAAGTAGTATCCACATATAAAAACACAAAGCATATTTTAGCTCTTTAAATGAAAGCTTCATTCAGTCAATATTGGTCTTCCTGTAGATGAATTTATGAAACAAAACCACAAAACATACAGCTTACCCGCTTCTCAAAACTCATTGCACAATAGGTTGAGGGACTTCTCTACACCAGGACCTATTATTAAAACCAGTAAGTCCTCAGTGAAAATCATTTATTTGCCCGGAGTGTCATCTGATGTGTCTGTTGTAGGCAGCTGTGGCAGTGGTGGGTGGTTTAGTGACACGGACCCTGCCCACGTCTGTCCGTCCATCAGTGGGCTAGTGTCTCTCTGGCTGCACCTGAGAAGGGTCTATAGGAGTTAACAGCATTAGCATGGGATTCAAAAGAAATCATCTTGGATTCAAACTTCCATTTCAGTATTCATTTCCAGCTAAGTTTGTGTAGCATGCTTAATGTTTCTGAAGCTCAATTTTAGTAATGGTAAAGTATATCTGCCTAAAAGACAGGGACACATCCCAGTTTTGTGTTTTTTTATTTTTATTTTATTGTATTTTTCTTGAGACGGAGTTTTGCTCTTGCTGCCCAGGCTGGAGTGCAATGGTGCAATCTCGGCTCACCACAACCTCCGCCTCCTGGGTTCAAGGGACTCTTCTGCTTCAGCATTCTGAGTAAATGGAATTACAGGTGCCCGCCACCACGCCCAGCTAATTTTTTGTATTTTTAATAGAGACGGGTTTCACCATGTTGGCCAGGCTGGTCTTGAACCTCTGACCTCAGATGATCCACCCACCTCATATGATAATCCCGCCAAGTGCTGGGATTACAGGTGTGAGCCACCATGTCCGGCCTTATCCTCAAAAAAGAATTTATCAAAATTGTGTGTGTGTGTGTGTGTGTGTGTGTGTGTGTATGTTTTAAGTAGAGTAATACTATATTAAAATGCCACTATATATGTTCTAACAAAAAACCTCAATTTAACAAATGTATGTGGGGAGAGGGAGAGAAGGAGAGAGAGAGAGAAGGAGGGAGGCAGAGAGAGAGAGAAGAGAGAGATATGTATCTCTGGTGACTCTTCCTTTTTGGATGATGACCCCAGTCCTAACAGATTACGGCCTTACCCTTTTGCCCCTATTTAACCTTTAACTTCTTAAAAGCTCCTTCTCCAAATACAGTCACACTGGGAGATAGGGCTTCAGGTTAGGAATTCTGGGGGGACATAATTCTCTCCAGAACAGACACTAATATCATGAGTGCTCAGATTGCTAGTGAATATGTTCTTGTTACAATTATTTTCACTTTGCAGTTTTAAATAATGAATACTTGGATAAAAAATACCCACTGTATTCTAATTTTTTCAACACTTCTTACTTGCATGGATTCTAAACAGAAGTCCAATGTAATTCTTATGTCTGTTTCTCTGTAGACAATGTGTTTCTTCCTCTGCCTTATTTTAATATTTTATCTTTGTTACAGGTTTTCTACGGTTTGAATATGATATTCCTAGGTATGTTTTTAAAATATTCATTCTGCTTGGTGTTCTCTGAGCTTTTTGGATTTGTAATTTGGTGTCTGTCATTAATTTGTGTTTTTTTCCTAGTTAAAATAATGAACTTTATAGATTTTACATTCTCAACTTTCACTTATTTTCAAAATGAGAGACAAGACACCTAAACTCCAAGATTTCAGTCCTGAATGCAATAGTACCAGATTTTCAAGTTACATAAGTGAACTGCATAAACATCACTAGTTTCAAGTGTACCCTATAAGAAACACATGGACATACTTGCGTTGTTTAAACACACGGTGTCATATCAATAAACATCAAAGTATCTGACATATATTTGTCCATTAAAAGTAAACACAACTCTGAGTATCAAATTAAATTAATCATTTGCCTTTTATAATCTAAATCAGAAATTGAAAAACAGGAACATTGTAGAGGTAAGTGGCTGAAAATGCTCTGCTTACTGCACACAAGCACATCATGACAAAGAATGCTAGAAGTAGCTTTCCTCAGAAGAAATAATTGAACATTTAAAATATTATTTTCTCAGAAAAGTTAAAGCTTTTAGTGTAAAAGGCATGGTAAATGACATTTTAACTTAATAGTTAACTATATAGCAAATTATAGATTTCAAGCAATTAGTTACCCACATTTCACCAGAACCTTCAGTGAAAGTGTCTACTCTCAACATTGACCAGAACCTTCCTGTTCTGAAGTGTCTACTCTTTAGAGTTGCTTCAGCTTTACATATCTGTAAAACCTAAGATTACTCAATGAGAAGTTACACCTTATTCTGTACTAGATACTCGTAATATATATAGATTTAGAACAAATGGATGTTTTTCAACTTCAAAAAAAGTATTTTAATTTACACAATGTTAGATTGTTTTTCACCCATGTGTATACATAACAGTGTTTCCCAAATTCACAGGGTCCATTTCCATAATTCTAAAGCAAAAATAGAGGCACACAAATGGATAATAATTCATAGTTTTATGCCTTTTTTTAACCTATCTTTAAAGAAATTCAGTTGCCATGTAGACAAAGATGTGATGAACCTGTAACACATTTCTATGACTTGGAAAATTAAAGGTCTAAAAATCCTAAATGTAGTAGCTCTGGGCAGTTTGCAATTTGTGCATGGGTTCACTCACCCTATGGTCCGTGAACTCCCTTATCCTGCAAGCTGTAGGTACTTTCAGCAAATATGAGACTCAATAAGACTAAGGAAGGGCTTGTTTAAATTAGTTCCCCTCACAGTTGATTCTAATCTTGCAATGAACAGATTTAATGTACTAGTGAGTTAAATTTTAAAGTAATTATAAAGCCATTTACTCTATCATAAATGAATGAAATGTAAGAATCACACTTAAAACAAGTCTTTCATTTTAATGAATGGTATCTTTCATTTATATACAAGGAATTCACTTGCCAGCAGCATTTAAATATAGGAATAGTCTCGTCTTTTCTCTAGTGCCTTTTATAAAGCAGTGCCATTTCTAACTAGGTGTATTTGTTTCCCAGCTATTCAGTAACTACACTATAGGTATCTAATAGATTCAAGAAAAGATTGGAAAATTGAGAAGATTTAGCATTTTAAACATTTGAAAAATGTTGCTACAAAGCATAGATTATGAATGCATTAGTAAAATAAATTGACACCTTATGTGAGAATCATTAAGTTGGTTTAATTATATCACAGAAGTATGGGCTCACTAATATTTATACCAATTTATGCTAATTAAACCAGAAAGTTTCTGTAGGTAATTCAGCTCTGCGCACCATTTAATAGGGTTATGCCAAACAGAACCAATGGTTATATAATACCCAGAATATAAACCTCAGCAAATTCATACTTTTGGAATGGCAACACAAGTGAGAATGAGAGGCAATATTTCATTTCAAAGTACCATAGGCTGCTAAGAGTGTTCTTTTCTTTTAAAAATTTGTGTGGTTGTTAGTAATGTACCTTAACACTGGTCCTCCTTGACAGCGGTGTTAGAGATGGTTAGGTAGAACCTATATTACGGAAGTCAGCCTTGCCCATTTCTTTAGTTCAGTGATTAAAATTGAAATTACTTTTTCAAAACAATTGAACTGCTGCTTACAATATAAATAGAATACCAACAGGATTCCTGTTGTATTCACATTATTCTCTAATTAGTATTTTTACATTTCCACTCTGACCTGACCTTCAGTAGTTCCTTTATTTTTATTTTCAAGCATTTTTGTGAGTATATAATAAGCATATATATTTATGGGGTGCATGAGATGTTTTGATACAGGCATGCAGCATGAACTAATCACATCATGGAGAGTGGGTATCCATCCCTTTAAGCATGTTTCCTTTGTGTTACAATCCAATTAGATTCTTTTAGTTATTTTTAAATGTACAATTATTGACTAGAGTCCCCCTGTTGTGCTATCAAATAGTATGTCTTATTCATTCCTTCTGCCTATTTTTGTACCCATTACCCGTGCCCTGTCTCCCCCCCCAGCCCCCTAGTACTTACTATGTCCATGAGTTCAATTGTTTTGATTTTTAGATCCCACAAATAAGTGAGAACATGCAATGTCTGCCTTTCCGTGCTTGGCTTATTTCCCTTAACATAATGATATCCAGTTCCTTCCATGTTGTTGCAAATGACTGAATCTCATTCTTTTTTAGGGCTGAATAATACTCCACTGTGTGTATCTACCACATTTTCTTTAATACATTAATCTGTTGATGGACACTTAGGTTGCTTCCAAATCTTAGCTATTGTCAACAGTGGTGCAACCAACATGGGAGTGCAGATAATTTCTTCGATATACTCATTTCTTATTTCTGGGGTATATATCCAACAGTGGGATTGCTGGATCATGTGGCACCTCTATTTTCAGTGTTTAGAGGAACCTCCAAACTGTTCTCCACCATGGCTGTACAAGTAGTACCTTAAAATGCAAATGCAATTGGTAAAAGAACAAGGCAGCGTGTAGTGCTTGCACTTACAAATACTGCCAGTTTTGTAACAATTTGCATTTTTTTTGTCTTTGAAAGAGTAACCACTTACTTAATAAAACGGATATTTAAAAGCGCAATATTCCTTCCTTTGCATGGCATGCAGGAATGGTGAAAGCAAAGAAACAGTCATCCCTTCTCTTCCCCCCACTTCTGGTCTCCCGAAATAGGAATGCCAGGTCAGACAGGTGGAGGAGGGAAATGGGGCACAGGTCAAGGTATGATGAATCTCTTAAAAAGAAATCCGGCCAGGCGCAGTGGCTCACGCCTGTAATCCCAGCACTTTGGGAGGCAGAGGCGGGCGGATCACGAATTCAGGAATCGAGACCATCCTGGAGAACACGGTGAAACACCGTCTCAACTAAAAATACAAAAAAATTAGCCGTGTGTGGTGGCGGACGCCTGTAGTCCCAGCTACTGGGAGGCTGGGGCTGGAGAATGGCATAAACCCGAGGGGCTGAGCTTGCAGTGAGCGGAGATGGCGCCACTGCATTCCAGCCTGGGCGACAGAGTGAGACACCTTCCCCCCACCGCCAAAAAAAAAAAATACAGCTTTCCCCAGAATGCTAGCCTGATAGGAACTCCACCCCATCCATTCCAACCTAGTAAGGATAGTTTAGTTTGTCTTTTCTGGTCTCACTTCATTACATCTAGTGTTCTTTTTTTGTTTCTGTTATTAAATTTCAGAAGACAAACCTTAGCATTTTCTAAAAGAAATTATTTTTTACCTAAATACATTGGACTTTGGTCTTAATTTGAAGGAATAGGATAAGTGGACTTTAAGAGAGCGTTCCTACTCCTTCTCTTCCAGTGGCTGCTCTGGGTCCTTGAAAGAGGGTGTGATATGAACCATCTGGGTTGTGAAGTGGATTTTGTTGAGCCTGTGTTTTTTAAGTCCATTAGTCCTGCCCGAGGCTGTGCGCCTTGGAATCCTTGGCTTCACGTCTGGACCACCTTCAGCCAAGTGGTGATGGTGGAGAGGGTCCCCCCATCTTCCAGGACGTGTGAGAGTTTGTAGGTGGTGAGATGGAGGGGGCAGCTTTTAAATCTTCCAGTACTCACCCCCGCTGCTGGCGGTGCTCTCCCCATCGTCCTTGTCCAGGACTCCCATCAGGGTCTCAATCTCTTCTGTGATGCTCTGACTCACATGCTGGGAGGCCCTTTTCCCAGTGTAGTCCCTGATGTCAACATCGGCGTCCTATGTTCCCACTAGCAGCTTCACCATCTCCAAGGTACATGGCTGCCAAGTGCAGGGCGGTGTAGCTCTGGCCTTGCTGTTCCCAGGCAGCAGAGGCTCGTTGGGGAAGTTGACCAGCATGGCCAGAAGCTCCAGCCTGCAGTGCTAGGTGCCTGCGCAGGCAGGTGAGGGTGTGATGAAGCCCAGAGTGGCCAGCAGGCTGGCTGGCACGGGGGCAACCCCCTAAGCTGTCCACTCCCCATCGGAGGCCGAGAGCAGCCAGCTGTGCTCCCTGGTCCAGCTCACCCAGCCCCACAGCTCTCCTCTGCGGACGGGAAAGCCAGCGCTGCGCCGCCAGAGTCACTCGCCTCTGCGGTGTCCTCAGAGGAGGAGCTCCCAGGCTGCTGCCTCCAGGACACAGGTTCCTCTTCAAGGGCAGGACACTGTGCCTTCCCAAGTCGCTCAAGTTCTGGCGGAACGGCCTCGAGGTGGTAGCCCCCCAGGAGCCGCCCCTGTCCGCCTCCTGGCAACCGTGGGGTGGGGGCTCCAGGTCCTTGCTGGTCTGAGGTCCCGCATCTGGGGTAGGGGCTGGTGGAGCCAGCGAGCTCTTCCTGCGTCCCCGCTGCTCAGGGCGGCCCGTGCAGGGGCTGGGCTCCCCCTTGCCCAGCTCGGCCCTGCCTGTGGAGCACCTCGGGGACCGCTGTTTCAGGGAGGGGATGGTGAATGCTGCGCTCCGCATTCACGTGGACGCGGGACAGGTCCCAGGGGCGCGGCCTCAGGCGGAGGCCCCGCCAGAACCTCTTCCTGAGACGCAGGTACTGGGCGCCATCGACGGGGTCCGTGCAGTGGCCACAGCGTTCACCCGGAGATACATTTAAACAGTTTTATTCTCCTGTTTTTTATTTTTTCATTCCAGAAACCATTACTACTATGCAACAAAGTAAAAATATCTAGTTTAAATAATAATTTGATACGGTCAGGTGGGGATGAGTGCACACGTGTGTGTACACACACACGCAGGCTCTAAATGGGATATTTTGGCGGAGCAGAGGGATAAGGCTTTTATTTCGTTGGTGTGTTGAGTTAGAATCGCCCTTCTCACAATTAAATAATTTAAATCAGGAGTTGTATTAAAGCTAATTTGTACAACTAGGCAACATCTTTTCTCCATATATTTATACACATATACACATCTCTAATATTTGCATTTATTACTTCATCTAAAAGAGCTTGGAAAAAGGGTCCTAGGTCTTGGCTAGTTAAGGTAAAGATCTATATTTTAAGGTAATAAAAACGTTTGCTATGGACAGAGACATGCAGACACTGTGGGTGAAGCTGATTCATGTTCCATTGAAGGAAATGACATGGGGTTTTCTAAGGGAAAGCCCAGCATGCCGCAAGGAGAGGGGAGGTCCCAGGAGGGAATTGGAGTCAGCATTAGGATCTAAGTGTCACAGGGGAGTGTGTTCCCAAAAAAGACTGTGACTGTTTCTTTGTCCATCCTGAACTGGTTACCATGAGTGTGTGTGTGTGTGTGTGTGTGTGTGTGTGTGTGTGTGTGTTTGTGTGTGTGTGTGTGAATTAAAAGAGGAGTTACATGCTGGGGCATTTCTGGTATCTCAACTGGCATCTCAGCTGCTGGTGATGATGGCTATACATTTTCCTCAGTATTCAATGTGCGTATTTTGAGTTAACAGTCCACCCATTGGCTGAGGCAGGTGGATCATCTGAGGTGAAGAGTTTGAGACCAGCCTGGCCAATATGTGAAACTCTGTCTCTACTAAAAATACAAAAATTAGCCAGGCATGGTTGCAGCACCTGTAATCCCAGCTACTCGGGAGGCCAAGACAGGAGAATTGCTTGAATCCAGGAGACAGAATTTGCAGTGAGCTGAGATGGACCACTGCACTCCAGCTTGGGCAGCAGAGTGAGACTTGGTCTCAAAAAAAAAAAGTTATTGTGACATGCTGTACACATTCACAAATTCAGTGTCTCCCAGAAGCCTGAGATTCTTTCTTTCTTTCTTTCTTTCTTTTTTGAGAAGGAATTTCACTCTTGTTGCCCAGGCTGGAGTGCAATGGTGTGATCTCGGCTAACTACAACCCTTCCTGGGTTCAAGTGATTCTTCTGCCTCAGCCTAAGTAGCTCCTGCCTCCCAAGTAGCTGGGATTACAGGCATGTGCCACCATGTGCAGCTAATTTTTTATTTTTAGTAGAGTTGGGGTTTCTCCACGTTGATCAGGCTGGTCTTGAACTCCTGACCTCAGGTGATCCACCCGCCTTGGCCTCTCGAAGTGCTGGGATTACAGCCATGAGCCACCATGCCCAGCCAGAAAGTTTTAAGGCTATGATTATTAGACAATCATACACACAAAAAGTACTGAAAAAGTCTCAGGAATGCAGTACCTCATTGGCCTGGTATGACAAAGATAAAAAGAAGTTGGTCATGAAAATTTCTGAATGTGGTTTAGGACAAGGAGCCCCAGTAAGATTCAGAGACAACCTAGAAAATTGAAAGACAATTTTACTACCCAAATCACCCTTCTATAAAAAATAATAGAAGATGTCAAATATGAAAATAAAACTGTCCTCTGGGCCCTCAATTTTCTGTGTTATTGGGAAGGCAGACAGCTACTCAGCAGTTATATCCCATAAGAATGGATAACACTAAAACAACTGACAGCATCAAGTATTGGTTAGAAAGTGGAACTGATTCTCTCAAACATTTTCATTGTAGTTTAAGATGGCACAACCACTTAGGAAAATGTCTCCCTATTTCATACAATGCCAAATATATACTTATTTTATAACCCAGAGAATCCACTCTTATGTACTTAAACTCAAGAAAAGTGAAAATATTATTACAGAAAAATGTGTATATCTGATTTGTTTGTAGCAGGTTTATTCATGATAGCCTCAAATTAGAAACTGCTTTTGTGTCTATCAATAGTGGAGTGGATTATAAACAAAACAAGCAAAGGCCTCAAACCTGTGGTATAGTCATAAAATTGAGTATTACAAAATAAAATTAATGAATAATCAATAGGAGCAAAATGATGTCACAAGCATGTTTAGTGAATGAACATAAAATTATATAATTTATAGTTTCACTTATGTAAATGGTGAAAACAGACAAAACTATCCTTTTGTGGAAAGAATCAAAACGATGGAAGCCTCTGTGTTCAAATACTGAATGGAAATGGGCATGAGAAAACGTGTTTCTGTCAGATCTTCTATATGCCTGATGTACATTCACTAGATGTATTTTGCATATACTATTTTTGCAAATAAAACTGAGATAGACGCAAAATAACTCAAGAGAAAATAGCTAGAAATAAGTAGAGTTGGGATAGAAGCCTTGGAAGCTCCCCCCTACCTTGCTCACCTGGCACAGGCCGAGGAAGCCCTGGGACAATGCTGTGAGCGATCTGAGGGCCTTCCAGGGGAGCCCCGCCAGCCCATGCTGGTGCCCGAGCTGCCCGCCGCCATCCATCTGAATATGTTGCAAAGACAGTGCTGGCCTGGCAACCGGTGACACTCCATGCCCCACCCCGACCCCCACTTCTACCCAAGTAGCGGCAACCCCAGAGACAGATGCCTGGGCGGCAGCGGCTAAGTCTGGTAGTTGGCCAGGCGGCCAAAGGACGGGAACTGGCCGTTCACCCCATCCCAGTTTCCACGGAGAACTCAGCCATCATGGCCCCTGAGCGGACCCTCAGGCCTGGGCTGTGCTCTGTGCCTGCAAACCTGACGCCATCCAGGGGAGCTCCGCCTTCCCACGCCAGCGCCTCAGCTGCTGCAGAAAACTGCAAAACTGCAAGTTGCACACAGGCAGAGATGACGGAGCAACCCCTGACCCTCCGTGCCACTCACCCTACCCGCACACACACCTGCCACGTGGACCCTGAGGCCAGTGCCTGGGCGCCCAAGTCAGGCAGTCCGCACAGCAGTGGCACCAGGGTGAAAACCTGCTGCTCAATACCATCCCGGTTACCACAAAGAGCCAGCCCTGGTGGCCCCTGAGTTCTTGGAGGAGGCCAAGTCACAGCAACCCCTCAAGTGGGCGGGCGATGCACTTGACCCTGAGGACATCAGGTACCAGGCCCGCCAGCTGACGCCGACATCGGAGCCGCAGCTGCAGTCTAGACGTGGTGCACCGGCAGTAAGTGACTGGACACCCCAGACCAGGCCCGCCCCCCAGTAGCGTGGATCCTGAGGCCAGACCCCCAGGCGGCAAAATCAGGCGACGGGCCCCGCCAGCAGCCGCTCAGTTTCATCCATGTGGATACAGAGTGCCCAGCGCCCGGGCCCAGGATCCAGAGAGATGCCCAAGAAGAGCGGAACTTGAGGCCAGGTGGGCTGTGCGCTCTGCGACCCTGAGGCCATCCAAGGGAAGCTCCGCCGTCCCACGCCAGTGCCAGATCTGCAGCTGCAAACTGTGCGTGGGGCACTGGCAGCAGTGAGGGCTGGTGGGTGAAAGAGCAGCCCCTGACTCTGCCTCCATGCCTCTACAGCTACCTGACACTAGCCACACAGACTCCAGGGCCAGAGCCTCAGCGTGAAGCCAGGCCATCTGCGAAGCCACCCAGGTGGCAGCGGAGTGCCCTTGCCAGCACCCTATCTCCCTTCCGAGGAGGAGCGGGGCGGGCTGCAAGGCCAGACAGGCCCTCCTTCTCAGGCCAGGCTGGCGGCGCTCCTGCGATCCTGGGGCCGCCCGGGCGATCCCAAGAGGACCTGCGAGCTCATCGGCGCCAGCCCAGAGCTGCAGCCCCACCTGCCGGCGCGCGCCACCAGGGAAGGGCTTCCGGGAGCCAGGCAGCAACTGCGGTGCAGGCGCGCGCCCAACGGCTTTGCGAGGCTCACTCGGTCTGAGAGGTCGGAGGCTGCGAGTGTCGCTGCTGAAGGCTGTGGTGGACAGGGCTGGATCGCGGACTGTGGAGTAGATCACAGATTTGGGATCGCGCATTGGGGGTTGATCGCGGATTGAGGGTTGGATCAGGGACTTGGGGTTGGATAGGGGATTTGGGGCTGGGTCGGCCGGGGTCGGCAGAGGAGGTGGGTGAAAAGGTGACAGGGAGGTCGGCCGGGGTCGGGGGAGGGGGGTGGTGAAAAGGTGACAGGGAGCTGCCCCCGCTCAAGAGCCGGAGGTTGGGGTTTCTGAGAAGTCACCACTATGAAGTTATTCGGCTTCGGGAGCCGCAGGGGCCAGACGGCCCACGGCTCCATAGAACATGTCTACACGGGTTCCGGATACCGAATCCGGGACTCCGAACTGCAGAAGATCCACAGGGCAGCTGTCAAGGGCGACGCCGTGGGGGTGGAGCGCTGCCTGGCGCGCAGGAGCGGAGACCTGGATGCCCTGGACAAGCAGCACAGGTAGCGGGGACTCAGCCCGGGGTGGGAGGGGGTCCCCAGGCCCGGCTTCCCCACTGCCCCTGGGACGGGGCCTTTCAGGGCTCTGGGCACCCTCAGAGCAGCGGAGCCAAACGGACTCTCAGCTGTTTTCCATCCCTCATAATTCCATGGCTGGAGCAGTTGGAGAATTTGAGTGATTTAACTCACAAAGTTAAGCAAACACAGTGTTGTTATTTTTAAAGTACACGTTGAAAACATGGTTTATATACATTATAGGAGGTGCCTAATGAGAGAACTCTTTCCCCTATCAAAAATACCGTGAGTTATTTCAGTAGGCAAAAAGTTCTCAGATAAGAGAGCTTACTTGAAAAATATTTACTATATTATATATATATATATGTATTTTCAGATGAAAAGTATGTTTTCATTTTATAGGGAATTCATTATATTCTTTTTTTTTTTTGAGTTGGAGTCTCGCTTCTTTGCCCAGGCTGGTGTCCAATGGCACAATCTTGGCTCACTGCAACCTCTGCCTGCTGGGTTCAAGCAATTCTCCTACCTCAGCCTTCCAAGTAGCTTGGATTATAGGCAGGTGCCAGCGTGCCTGGCTAATTTTTGTATATTTAGTAGACGGGGTTTCACCACGTTGGCCAGACTGGTCTCGAACTCCTGACCTCAAGTGATCTGCCCGCCTCCGCCTCCCAAAGTGCTGGGATTAAAGGTGTGAGCCACCGTGCCCAGCCTATGTTGTTTATTATATATCATAAGTTATATATATATATATATATATATATATATATATATATATATATTACTGATACGTATACATATATACCAGATATAATATGTCATATATATCAGTTATATATACACATTAGATGAAAAGTACATTTTCATTTGACAGGGAATTCTTTCAAATCAAATCATCAAACACTCTAAAATTGGGCAAAGTACACTTCTCCAGATCTGCAAGTTACTTGTGTACATAGGAAAAAGTCCTTCGCATTTCTGGCATAAGAATTTAAATTAAAAGAGGAATGAAACAGTTTTCTATCCACAATATTTGTGAGGATGTTTTATACTCCTGCTTAAAGTTTAAGTTGCTGATTACTTTTCAAATAGATAATTTGGTGGTAAGTACTACAATTAAAAAATATGTATGCCCTTTACCCATCAAT
Source organism: Homo sapiens (assembly GCF_000001405.40). Taxonomy (NCBI): domain Eukaryota; kingdom Metazoa; phylum Chordata; class Mammalia; order Primates; family Hominidae; genus Homo; species Homo sapiens. The sequence continues at coordinate 60,009 of NT_113889.1, forward strand.
TCCATTATACTAAAACACCCTTAGGAAATAAAGATACATGCACTTTATTTTTCACCTCACTTATTTTAAAAAGAACCCAAAGAGTGGATCCTATAAATAAACTTCAGTTGCATCCACAGGATGGAATAATATGTGACCATTGAAGGTGGCAATAGATACAGAAGTATATTGATGTGCGAAGATGTATTTTGTTATAGCTAGTGAGAAAAAAATCAATTAAGTTATACATACAAACATACTATGGTCTTGTTTTATCAAAAAATATGTACAAAATATAAAATTTGTAATTTCTGAGCATTTGTATTTTAAGTAAAGTTCTTTTCCTTTTTCTTATCTGTGATTGCTGCAGTGAGCATGTACAAAACTTCTAGTAAAGTTTATTAATAAATAAATAATCCTTGGGAAGACAGGAATATGAATCTTACAATATTAAAAATAATTTCTCACTTTCTATTTTTTATCATTATTGAGTGTATTGTTATCTTCTTTGAACTTTTAGCCTCTTCAGAAGTAAAAAGGGAATATTTTTATGTTTCCAGATTTCATTATCTATATATTTTATTATGTACATATGTTTTTCTTATGTATTCATTCAATTTATGCAAACAATGATAGATTAATCATTTCATTTTAATTGTATTCTTAAATAAAAATAACATATAAATATTACTATTGCAAAAATATTGCTTTATAGGAGTTTATTTAAAAATATTGAACTCCCCAACTGTATTTTTCCATTCTTTCATTCCATTTATTCATCAAACATAACCTGAGTACCTGTTATGTAGCAGACATATTCTGCTATCTCTCAGGTCCCTTCTATCCTTAAAAACTTCATGTTTACCTGCCCTGCTGCACAAGCTGAGAGATTTAAAATAGGAATATTGGGACTTAATCTCCTTGAAACTTTGTCACCCAACTTTCAAACAAAAGCATTTCTGAAGTTAGAAAATAGTAGAAGATAAGCTTTAACTGCCCACCCAAAAGGTTATCAGTCTTAAATACTAATATTAATCATGGGAATGTCTTATTTACATATATTCTGTAAGCATAAATATTGAATAAAATGAGCCATATGTATTCATTTGAATCATGAGTTTCCTTTGTCTTCAATTTGTTTGAAAATCAAGGAATTAATTTGTTTGAAAAATGCATTATTATTATTTGTGTTCTATCCCCATAGTACCTTTAAGCAGGTGGACAAGCCAGCAACCTCACCCACTCAAGGAAGCCCAGATGGCCAGGTTCCAACAGCATGAGTAGCTGCCACCTGATGGCTGATGGAGCAGAGTCCTGAGGAAAAGCAGATGGCACTGGGGCCCTAACTCTAGGGCAGAAGAACTGATGTACTGTGACTGGCAGCATGTGAGGTTGGTGATTGGCCCACCTGTTCCTGGCACACCCTTGCAGAGGTGACCGGTTGCTCTTTGAGCCAGCTTGGCCTTGCCTGGCATGCACAAGCCTCGGTGCAACAACCGTGCTACAAATGGAGCCATATATAGGAAAGGAGAAGGAGGCTCAGGAGCAGGGTGTGCACTGACTTTGGGGCTCCAGTGCATGCCTCAGGGCTCCTATGGCACTGCAGGCTTCTTTGTTGCCAAGAGGCAGACCACAGGCCGTCTTGAGGAAGACTTTATGTACAAGTGCAGAAAGCAGCCAGGATTACCACCCAGGGGACTCGGTCTTCTGTGGCCCTGGCCTGACAGAATTTGGCCCAAGGCAGGACAAGGTCACTCAGAGCAGTGTGTCAGTAGGTGGGGCCTGGGCATGCGAGGCAAGGCCAAGCTGGCTCAAAGAGCAAGCAGCCACCTCTGCAAGGGTGTGCCTGGAGCAGGTGGACCAGCCACCAACCTCACCCACTGAAAGAAGCCAGGATGGCCAGGTTTCCACAGCCTGAGTGGCTGCCTCCTGATGGCTGATGGAGCAGAGACCTGAGGAAAAGCAGGTGGCATATTTAACTCTTTAATCCATCTTAAGTTAATTTTTGTATAAAGAAGATGGCACCAGTCCATGCCTCAGGGCTCATATGGCACTGTGGGCCACAGAAGGGTGAGTCCCCAGGGTGGTAATCCTGCCTGCTTTCTGCACTTGAACATAAAGTCCTCCTCAAGACGGCCTGTGGTCTGCCTCTTGGCCCCACCTTTAGGATAGAAGAACTGATGTACCACGTCTGGCAGTGAGTGAGGTTGGCGGCTGGTCCATCTGCTCCTGTTACACCCTTGCAGAGGTGGCTGCTTGCTCTTTGAGCCAGCTTGGCCTTGCCTGGCATACACAAGCCTCGCTGCAACAAGTGTGCTACAAATGGAGCCATATAGAGGAAATGATCAGCAGGCTCAGGAACGGGGCGTGCACTGCCTTTGTGGCTCCAGTCCATGCCTCAGGGCTCGTATGGCACTGTAGGTTTCTTGGTCGCCAACAGGCAGACCACAGGCTTTCTTGAGGAGGACTTTATGTTCAAGTGCAGAAAGCAGCCAAGATTAGCACCCAGGGGACTGGGCCTTCTGTGGCCCTGGCCAGACTTAGAATTTGACCCAAGGCAGGACAAGCTGACTCGGTGCAGAGTGTCAGTACCTGGGACCTATGCATGCCAGGCAAGGCCAAGCTGGCTCAGAGCAACTAGCCACATCTGCAAGGCTGCACCTGTAGCAGGCAGACAAGCCAGCAACCTCAGCTACTCAAGGAAGGAGGGATGGCCAGGTTCCCACAGCCTGAGTGGTTGCTGCCTGATGACTGATAGAGCAGAGGCCTGAGGAAAAGCATATGGCACTGGGGCCCTACCTCTAGGGTAGAAGAACTGATGTAAGCTGACCGGCAGCAAGTGAGGTTGGTGGCTGGTCCACCGGCTCCTGGCACAACCTTGCAGAGGTGGCCGGTTGCTTTTTGAGCCAGCTTGGCCTTGCCCGGCATGCACAAGTCTGTGCAACAACTGTGACACAAATGGAGCCACACAGAGAAAATGAGCAGCAGGCTCAGGAGCAGAGTGTGTGCTTCCTCGGGGGCTCCAGTCCATGCCTGAGGGTTCATATGGCACTGCGGGCTTCTTGGTTGCAAAGAGGTAGACCACAGGCCATCTTCAGGAGGTCTTTATGTGGAAGTGCAGAAAGCAGCCAGGATTACCACCCGTGGGACTCGGCCTTTTGTGGCCCTGGCCTGACAGAATTTGGCCCAAGGCAGGACAAGCTCACTCAGAGCAACATGTCGGAACCTGGGGCCTGTGCATGCCAGGCTAGGCAAAGCTGGCTTAAAGAGCACCCAGAGCATCCATTCTGGTGGATAAGCCAACCACATGGCCAGCTTCTGGGTCTGGGCACAGTGCCACATCTTCCATCGCTTTCTGACGTATCCCACCAACACTGAAGAGACAGCCTGGAGAGAGTGCAAGAGGAAGGCTGAGAAGGATGAGATAGTGAGTGCTGGCTTCTTTCTGACCCTCAGCACAACCCCAGGTGGTGACCCTCAACCTTTAGGGGTGGGAGAGCAAGACTGATGGCTTCAAATGCTTCCCCAAGAAGATGGACACAGGCCACTCAGCTCATCCTCACAGCCAATGAGTTGACAAGCAAGCAGATGACAGTGACAGGCTTTTAAAAAGAGCATCAGAAGGTGGCCAGTTTTTCTTCAGCTTCAGCCAGGCCTTGGAACTTGACTAGGCCATCCACTTCACCAGAGATGCCTTCAAGAACATCAGTAAGCTCTTTGACAATGAGTCCAGGAATGACCTGGACCCAGCCATGGACCTGTTAGTGCTGTCTCAGGGACACCAGACCAACATCCTGGACATCATCCTCATACACAAGGAAGCTCTTACCAAAGTCACGGAGAACAGGCAACATGTGGCAGAAGGGAAGACAGAGATGCAGAGGCTGATGGCGTCATTATCACAGGAACAGGATTTCTTTGGCCACTTTGGCTGAAATTCACCACTTCCATCCAATTCACTCAAGCGAGAGACTTGAAATCACAGATGGACCATTTCTTGCAACAAGAGATACTATTTTTTCAAAAAGTCACCTAAAATTTGATAGTGTTGAATGACTAGCTATTCGATTGTGGACTTTTTCCAGTTCACGGGTACTTTCTACAGCAGAATGATAACAGTATCAAAGAGCTAGTGCCAGCTATCGGTGGTAGTACAAGGATGACTTTGTGCTCAACTGAAACCCAGCTGAATATAGAATTGTGTACGAAAGTGTTAATATGGTGATAGAATAGAAACAGTAGCAAATGAACTAAATCATACTATGAATGCCTACACTACCATTATAACTTTTTGAAGAATGGTAATACCACTTACTTTATTGCCTTTTGAAGTAGGAATATTTTAGTGGATATGCTATAGACCTGAAACCCTATAAAGAATCCCAAAGAAGCTGGCTGGATAAAGCCTGCTATGGATGTCTTTATACTCAAAGACTGATGAGGCAATTCGAATATGTGTCCCCACCAAATCTCATGTTGAGTTATGCTTCCTAATGTTGGAGGTGGATCCTGGTATAAGGTGATTGAATCATGAAGGCAAATTTCTCATGAGTGGTTCAGCACTATCCCCTTGGTACTCTCCTCACAATCATGAGTGAATTCTCGTGAGATCTGGCCACTGAAAACTCTATATCACTCCCTACTCTCCGTGATTTCCTCTTGCCATATGAGACAATTCACTCTTTCATTACCTTGCACAATGATTGAAAGATTTCTGAGGCCCCCCAGAAGCAGAAGCACTAAGCTTCCTGTCCACTCTGCAGAACCATGAGCCAATTAAACCTCTTTTTCAAAATAAATCTTACCAAAAATGGCAAATGAGGACTGGAGCATTGCTATAAAGATACCTGAAAATGTGGAAGCAACTTCGGAACTGGGTAATGGGTAGAGGTTGGAAGAGTTTGGAGGGCTCCAAAGAAGACAGACAGATGAGAACATTTTTGGACCATCTTAGAGACTGGTTAAATGGCAGTGACAAGAATGCTGACAAAAACATGGACAGTGAAGGCCAGGCTGAGGGGGCCTCAGATAAAAATAAGAAGGTTTCTGGAAAATGTCTCCCTTTTGGATATGGAAAGCTTACAAAATGCCTGTACCATCATTGTACCTTAGACACAGTGAACTTGCTTTTTATTTCAGAGACTCGTAGGCAAAAGAGAATGTAGCCTTGACCCAGATGAGACTTTGGACTTTGTAACTTTGAGTTAATGCTGAAATGAGTTAAGAATTTGGGAGACTGCTGGCAAGGCATGACTGTATTTTGCAATGTGAGAAGGACATGAGATTTGTGGGGTCAGGGACAGAATAATACGGTTTTTCTCTATGCCCCTTCCAAAGCTCATGTGAAAGTACACTCCCTAATGTTAGAGTCGGGGCCTAGGTGGAAAAAGCTTTAATCATAAAGGTGTGGGAGTGGATCCTTCACAAATGGCAAAGCACCAAGCCCTTAATGCCATCCTCCTGATAGTGAGTTCTCATGAGATCTAGTAGTTTAAAAGGCTGTGGAACCTCTTTCGTCTCTCTGTCTTGTTCCAACTTTTGCCATATGAAACATGTCATTGCCGCTTGGATTTCCGGTGTGGTTAGGAGGGGCCTGATCAGTGTGGGCCTGGTCAGTGGACCTAGGTCAGTGAGGACTATTTAGTGGGATCGTGGTCAGCAGGCGTCTGCTTAAAGAGGGTCTCATTAGTGGGGTCTAGTAGTGGGGGTTTTGGTGAGTGGCGACCTATTGGCTGCCAGTTGTTTGGTGTCTGGTCAGTGCAAACCTGGGCTGTGGGGCTTGATCAGTGGAGACCTGGTCAGCTGGGGTTAGTGCTGGCCTGGTCAGCATGGGCTGGGGCACTGGTGACCAGGTCAAGGGGTGCTATTCAGTGGAGGACTGGGCACATGGGACCTAGTCAGCAGACCCTGGTGGGCGTGTCCTCATCAGTGAGGCCCTTGTCAGTGGGGCCCTGGTCAGGGCAGCCTTGTCAGCGGGACCTAATCTGTAGTGTCCTGGTCAGAGAGGACTTGGTCAGTGGTGACTTTTGTAGCACTGATCTACAGGGTGACCTGGTCAGCGGGGATCTCAGCATTTGGTGCCAGTTCAGTGGGGTCTACTCACTAGGGTCCCAGTCAGGGGCATCTGGTGATCTTAGGCCTGGTTATTAGGGGCCTGATCAGTGGCAACCTGTTCCCTGGAGGCCTGGTCAGTGGAGCCTCATCTCTGGGGCCAGGGAATGAGGTCATGATCAGTGGAACCTGATCAGTGAGGCCTTGTCAATAATGACCTAGTCAGTGAGGACTTGTTAGTAAGGACTTGGTCCGTGAGGCCATGTCAGTAAGGTCCTGGTCGGTGGAGTCCTTGTCATTGTGTGCCCGGCAGTGGGGGCCTTGTGAGTGGGGCCTGGTCATGAGGGTCTAATCAGTGAGGGTGTCATCAGGGAGGACCTGATGTGTGGGGTCTGGTCAGCAGGGACCTGGTCAATGTGGGCTGCTGAGCACTGCTTGGATAAGCCAGGTGCAATGTGCATTATTGAAGGCCCTGTGGACAGCTGGGATAGCCCAGTGATGCCCAAGGGCCTAGTCAAAAGTGGACAAAGCACGTGTTTGGATGGACCTGGGAGATCCTGCTCAGAGATTCTGACAGGACAAAGGTAAAGGAAGGGCCAGAGTGGCTGCAGAGATGGTCACAGTCTATGGGCTGCACAGGATGAAGGAGGCCAGGGAACAGGCAGGGTGGGCAGTTGGGGTTCAGGGAGAGGCAGGTGCATGCTGGGAGGTCAGACCCTGTGAGGGCTTTGGGGGCGTCAGGTTGGGTAGGCTCCAGGCACTCTCACTCACATAGGATTCCAGAACACTGCTACAAGGCTCTGAGTGTTTGTCCCTCACATAGGATTCCAGAACACTGCTGCCATTGTCTGAATGTTTGTCCCCCACATAGGATTCCAGAAGCCTGCTGCTGGGGTCTGAATGTTTGTCCCCCAACTAGGATTCCAGAACACTGCTGCGAGGGTCTGAATGTCTGTCCCTCACATATGATTCTAGAACATTGATGCTAGGGTCTGTATGTTTGCCCTTAACATAAGATTTCAAAACACTGCTCCTGAATTCTGAATGTTTGTCCTTCACATAGGAATACAGAACACTGCTGCTGGAGTCTGGAAGTTTGTCACTCACATAGAATTCCAGAACACTGCTGTGAGGATCTGAATGTTTGACCCTCACATGGGATTCCAGAACACTGCTGCGAGGGTCTAAATGTCTGTCCCTCACATAGGTTTCCTGAACAATGTTATGAGGTTCTGAATGTTTATCCCTAACATAGGATTTCAGGGCACTCCTGCTGTGCTCTGAATGCTTCTCCCTCACATAGGATTCCAGAACACTGCTACGAGGGTCTGAATGTTTGTCCCTCACATAGGATTCCAGAATACTCCTGCTATGGTCTTAATGCTTGTCCCTCACATAGGATTCCAGAACATTCATGTTGGGGTCTGAATGTTTGCCCTTATCATAGGATTTCAGAACAGTGCTCCTGGGGTCTGAATGTTTGTTCTTCATATAGGATTTAAGAACACTCCTGCTTTGGTCTGAAAGTTTGTCCCTCACATAGGATTCCAGAACTCTCCTGCTGTGGTCTGAAAGTTTGTCCTTCACGTAGGATTCCAGAACACTGCTGCTGTGGTTTGAATGTTTGTCCCTCACATAAGATTCCAGAACACTGCTACGAGGGTCTGAATGTTTGTCCCTCACATAGGATTCCTGAGCATTGTTGCCGTGGTCTGAATGTTTGTACCTCACATAGGATTCCAGAACAGTGCTACGAGGGTCTGAATGTTTGTCCCTCACATAGGATTCCTGAGCATTGTTGTCGTGGTCTGAATGTTTGTACCTCACATAGGATTCCAGAACAGTGCTACGAGGGTCTGAATGTTTGTCCCTCACATAGGATTCCAGAACACTTCTGCTGGTGTCTGAATGTTTGTACCTCACATAGGATTCCAGAACACTGCTGCTGGGGTCTGAACGTCTGTCCCTCAGATAGGATTCTAGAACACTGCTGTTGGGGTTTGAATGTCTGTCCCTCACATAGAATTCCAGAACACTGCTGCGAGTGTCTGAATGTTTGTCCCGCAGATGGGATTCTAGAACACTGCTGTGAGGGTCTAAATGTCTGTCCCTGACATAACATTCCAGCACACTGCTACAAGGTTTTGAAATGTTTGTCCCTCACATAGGATTACAGAGCACTCCTGCTGTGGTCTGAATGTTTGCCCCTCACATAGGATTCCAGAACATTCCTGCTGTGGTCTGATTGTTCCTCAAATAGGATTCCAGAACACTGCTACGAGGTTCTGAATTTTTGCCCCTCACATAGGATTGCAGAACACTGCTACAAGGGTTTGAAAGTTTTCCCCTCACATAGGATTCCACAACACTCCTGCTGTGATCTGAATGTTTGTCCCTCACATAGGATTCCCGAGCACTCCTGCTGTGGTCTGAATGTTTTTCCCTCACATAGGATTCCTGAAGACTGCTGCTGTCACTATAGTCGTTGCGAGTGTCTGAATGTTTGACCTTCACCAAACACTAAATATCCTGCCCCTTTAGTCTTGGACTTTCCAGCCTCCAGATCTGTGAGCAATAATCTCTGTTGTTTATGAATTACTCAGTCTAAAGTATTTTGTTATAGTAGCCTAAAGAGACTAAGAGAGCATCACCTGCCCTGTCACCTCATCACCGCATTACTAAAGGTATACTAACAGCAGTCACCTTTAGTGGGTGCTTCATGCATGAGAATAAAGGGAAAAAATTGCAAGGCATACTAAAATCCAAAAAAAGAAAAAAATACAATTTGTGTCAACAGAGCAAGCTTCAGAAGCAGACAAAGATATGATTTTGGAATTTTTTTTAAACCTCTGGAGAATATGCTAAGGGCCTAATGAATGAAGTAGACAGCATTCAAGTGTAGATGGGTAATGTAATCAGAAAGACAGACATCGTAAGAAACTTCAACATAATGTAGTGGTAAAAAATGTGGTAAATAACTGAAGAATACCTCTGATGGCTTATTAGTAGACTGGACTCAGCTGAGTTAAGAATCTCTGAGCTTGAGGATTTATCATCAGAAACTTCGAAAACTAAAGAAAAGAAACACTGAAAAGAACAGAAGATGATATCCAAGACTGTGGGACAACTACAAAAGGTGAAACAGAGTAATGAGAATACCAGGAGGAGAAGAAATAGAAGAAAGTTCTGCAACAACCATGTCTGAGAACTTCCAGTATTAATGTCAGACACCAAACCAAAGATCCAGGAAGCTCAGAGAACACCAGGCAGAATAAATGCCAACAACCTACACTTGGACATATAATTTTCAAACTATATGAAATAAAAGATAAAGGAAAACTCTGAAAGAAACCAGAGGTGGGGCAGAAAACACCTTACCTACAGAGACACAAAGATAAGAACTGCATTCAACAATGCAGAAACTGTGAAAGCAAGAAGACAGTGAAATGAAAAATTCAAAATGTTGACAGAAAAAAACCCACCAACCTAAGTTTCTGTACCCACTGAAACCACCCTTCAAAAGTGAAGGAGAATTAAGGCCTTCCTCAGAAAAATAAAAATTCAAGAAACTTGTTGCCAGGAGACCTGTCTTGCAAGAAATGTTAAATGAAATTCTTTAGAGGGAAACAAAAGATATATAACTGAAACCTGGATCAACATTTTTTTAAAAAGAGCATTAAAGAATTGTGGTACAATAAAAACCTATGTATTTATTCTTAATTGATCTGACCAAGAAGTTCATAGACAATAACAAATACACACAGATAGATTATGTATGCTTATACACAAGTTAAATGAGTAACACTAATACAAGGAATGGAATGGAAGGATGGGAGGGAGGAATTGTGGTACAATAAAAACATGTATTTATTCAAAATTGATCTGACCAATAAGTTTGTAGATAATAATAAATACACACAGATAGATTATGTATGCTTATACACAAGTGAAATAAGGAACAATAATACAAGGAATGGAATGGAAGGATGGGAGAGAGGAATCAGGTGTTTTCTTTGTTAAGCAGGTAGTCACCCGTGAAGTGGGATAGTGTTATCTGAAAGTGGACTTGAATTGGTTGTAAATGTATATTGAGGAATTAGGTGTGTTCTTTGTTAAGCAGGTAGTCTTATTTGTGGGATAGTGGGATAGCGTTATTTGAAAGTGGACTTCAATTTGTTGTAAATGTTACTGAGGAATTAAGTGTTTTGTTTGTTAAGCAGGTAGTCTTATTTGTGGGATAGTGGGATAGTGTTATTTGAAAGTGGACTTGAATTGGTTGTAAATGTATATTGCAAATTCTGTGGCAACTAGTTAAAAAAAAGTTTTAAAAAGAGAAGTACATGCTAAGAAAGACAGGGAAAATGTAGTCATCTAAAATCATCAATGAAAACTGCAAAAGGCAGAAAAAGAGTGGTAGACAAAAGAATGGAGACTGAGGAGAATGAATAGAAAACAGTAACAAATATAGTAGATATTAATCCAATGATATCAATAATCACTTTGAATGTTAATGGTATGAATGTACCAATTCAAAGATAAAGATTGTCAGAGTCTATCAAAAGACAGACACATCTTGTTTCACTGCACTTTGCTTTATTGTGTTTTGTGACCATGTGTTTTACATATTGAAGGTTTGTGGCCACCCTGCAATAAGCAGGTCTCACTGGCACCATTGTTCCTACAGCACGTGCTCACTTCACGTCTCCGTGTCACATTTCGGTCATTCTCACAGTATTTTAAGCTTTTTATTATTGAATCGGTTATAGTGATCTGTAATCAGTGATCTTTAATGCTACTGTTGTCATTGTTTTGGGAACCACAAATCACACCAGGATAAGACAGCAAACAATTGACAAATGCATTTGTTCTGACTGCCCCACCAATGGGCCATTTCTCTTTCTCTCTCTTTTTCTCAGGCTTCCTTTTATTAACATTAAAATGTGGCCAATTAATAACCCTACAATAGCCTCTATATGTTCAAGTGAAAGAAGAGTTGCATGTCTGTCACTTTAAACCAAAAGGAAGAAATAATTAAGCTTAGTGATGAAGGCATGCTGTAAGCAAGACAGGCCAGTAGCTAGACCTCATGCAACAAACACTTAACCAAGTTGTGAATGCAAAGGAAGTGTTCTGGAAAGAAATTTAAAGTACTACTCCAGTGAATACATGAATGATAAAAAGCTAAACAATCTTGCTGCTGTTATGAAGAAAGTTTAATTGGTCTAGATAGAAGATAAAAAAAAACAAAAAAAATTCCATTAAGCCTAAGCCTAACTCTCTTTTTACTTTTTTTCTTTGTTTTTGAGACAGAGTTTCATTCTTCTTGCCCAAGCTGGAGTACAATGGCGTGATCTTGGCTCATCGCAACCTCTGCCTCCCAAGTTCAAGCCATTCTCCTGCCTCAGCATCCCGAGTAGCTGGGATTACAGGCATGCACCACCACGCCTGGCTAATTTTTTGTATTTTTAGTAGAGACGGGGTTTCTCCACGTTGGTCAGACTGGTGTCGAACTCCCGACCTCAGGTGATCTGCCCGCCTCGGCCTCCCAAAGTGCTAGGATTACAGGTGTGACAGCCACCGCACCCGGTCTCCCTTCAATTCTATGAAGACTTAGAGAGGTGAGGCAGCTGCAGAAGAAAAGTCTGAAGCTAGAAGAGCTTGTTTCTTGAGGTTTAAGGAAAAAAGTCATCTCCATAACATAAAAGCGCAAGATAAAGCAGCAAGTACTGATGGAAAAACTGCAGAAAGCTATCTAGAAGATAATTGATTAAGATGGCTACACTAAACAGATTTGCAATGGAGACAAAACAGCCTTCTACTAGAAGGAGATGCCATCCAGGATGTTCCCAGCTAGAGAGGAGTTGATGCCTGGCTTTAAGGCTTCAAAGGACATGCTGACTCTTTTGTTAAGGCCTAATGCAATTGGTGATGTTAACTTGAAACCAATGATGATTTACTATTCTGAAAATCCAAGGGCCCTGAAGAATTATGATAAAACACAGCTCTGCCTGTACTCTACAAATGGGAACAAAGCCTGGATGACAGACTATTGGTTTACAAATATGGTTTACTGAATATCTTAAGCCCACTGTCGACAACTACTGCTCAAGAAATAAGATTCCTTTCAAAGTATTACTGCTCAATGACAATGCCGCTGGTACTCAAGGGCTTTTACAGAGATGTATAAAGAGCTGAATATTGTTTTCATGCCTACTAACCCAACATTCATTCTGGTGCCCTTGGATCAAAGAATAATTTCAACTTTCAAGTCTTATCACTTAAAAATATATTCATAAAGCTATAGCTTCTCTAGAAAGTGATTCCTTTGATGGATCTGGGCAAAATAATTGAAAACCTACTGGAAAGGATTCAACATTCTAGATGCCATTGAGAACATTCATGATTTAAAAAAGATCAAAATAGCAACATTAGGAGAAGTTGGGGCCGGGCTTGGTGGCTCACGCCTGTAATCCCAGCACTTTGGGAGGCCAAGGCACGTGGATCACGAGGTCAGGAATTTGAGACCAGCCTGGCCAACATAGTGAAATCCTGTCTGTACTAAAAACACAAAAAAAATTAGCTGGGCCTGGTCGGGGGTGACTGTAATCCCAAACACTTGGGAGGCTGAGGCAGGAGAATTGCTTGAACACGGGAAGTGGAGGTTGCAGTGAGCTGAGATCGCATCACTGCACTCCAGCCCAGGCAAGACTTCATCTCAAAAAAAAAAAAAAAAAAGAGAGAGAAGTTGGGAAGATTATTCCAACCCTCACAGATGACACAGGGGTTCACGACTTCTGTGGAGGAAGTAACTGCAGATATGGTGGAAATAACAAGAGCACTAGAATCAGAGAAAGAGCCTGAAGATCTGGCGAGACTGCAGCAGCCTCTGGAGAAAACGTGAGAGGATGAGTTGCTCCCACGGATGAGCAAAGAAAGTGGTTTCTTGAGATGAAATCTACTCGTGGTGAAGACAGTGTAAACAATGTTGAGATGACAACAGATTTACAATAAACTTGGTACAGCAGAAGGAAGGCTTGACAGGATTGAACCCAATGATTTACAATAATACATAAACTTAGTTGGTACAGCCGTACGAAGGTTTGACAGCATTGCGTCCAATTTTGAAAGTTCTACTGTGGGTAAAAAGCTATCATCGTATGCTACAGTTAATTCTTTTGTGAAAGGGAGAGTCAATTGACACAGCAAACTTCAACGTTGTCTTATTTTAAGAAATTGCCACAGCCACCCCAACGCTCAGCAACCACCACCTTACATTAACATAAGACTCTCCATCAGCAAGAAGACTGAAACTTGGCCAGGTGCAGTGGCTCACACCTGTCATCCCAACACCTTGGGAGGCCAAGGTGGGTGGATTGCTTGAGCCCAGGACGTCAAGGCAACATGGCAAAACCCCATCTCTACAAAAAAAAAAAATACAAAAATTAGCTGGACATGGTGGCATGCACCTGTAGTCCCAGCTAGTCAGGAGTCTGAGGTGGGGGTTTGATTGAGCATGAGGTTGAGGCTGCAATTACTCCAGCCTGAGCCACAGAGTAAAACCCTGTCACACACACAAAAAAGATTGCAGCTTTCTGAAGGCTCAGATGACTGTTAGCACTTGTTAACAATAAAGTATTTGTAAATTAAAGTGTGCATACTTTGTAGACATATGCTATTGCACACTTTATACAGCACAGTATAAACATACTTTTACATGCACTGGGAAACAAAAAGAAATTGTATAATTATTGCAGTGGTCTGGAACCAAACCCACATATATCTCTGATGCATGGCCGTCCTGTATTGTACACTTAAAAAAATACTTAAGAGGGTATATTTTAGGTGAAATGGTCATCTCATTTTTTTTTTGAGACGGAGTCACACTCTGTTGCCCAGGCTGGAGTGCAGTGGCACGATCTCGGCTCACTGCAAGCTCTGCCTCCCGAGTTCACACCATTATCCTGCCTCAGTCTCCCGAGTAGCTGGGACTACAGGTGCCCGCCATCACACCTGGCTAATTTTCTGTATTTTTAGTAGAAACGGGGTTTCACTGTGTTAGCCAGGATGGTCTTGATCTCCTGACCTCGTGATCCACCTGCCTTGGCCTCCCAAATTGCTGGGATTACAGGGGTGAGCCACCACTCCCGGTCTCATTTTTTAAAAAGGGTGAGAATGAGAAATATATGGGGGGTGATGGTCAAGTTTACGGTATTATTTGTTGTGATGAGTCCTGGGGCGAATATTTATCTCTATACTCATTAAGATGTATATATTCGGTGTCACACGCCTGCAATCCCAGCACTTTGGGAGGCCGAGGCAGGTGGATGATCTGAGGTCAGGCGTTCGAGACCAGCCTGGCCAACATGGTGAAACCCTGTCTCTACTAAAAAAATGCAAAAATTAGCCGGGCGTGGGGGCGCACGCCTGTGATCCCAGCTACTCAGGAGGCTGAGGCAGGAGAATTGCTTGAACCTGGGATGCAGAGGTTGCAGTTAGCTGAGATCATGTCACTGCACTCCAGACTGGGCAACAAGAGTAAAACCTCCATAACACACACACACACACACACACACACACACACACAAGGTATATATTAAATATGTGTAATTTTTGTATGTCAACCACACCTTAGTTTTATTTTATTTTATTTTTTTGGGACAGAGTCTCACTCTGTCACCCAGGCTGGAGTCCAGTGGTGCAATCTTGGCTCACTGCAAGCTCCACCTCCCAGGTTCACACCATTCTCCTGCCTCAACCTCCGGAGTAGCTGGAACTACAGGCACCCGCCACCACGCCCGGCTAATTTTTTGTATTTTTAGTAGAGATGGCGTTTCACAGTGTTAGCCCAGATGGTCTCGATCTCCTGACGTGATCTGCCTGCCTCAGCTTCCCAAAGTGCTGCGATTACAGGTGTGAGCCACCGCGCCCAGACAATTTTTATTTTTTTGAGACAGAGCCTCACTCTGTCACCCAGGCTGGAGTGCAGTGGCACTATCTTGGCTCACTGCAACCTCTGCCTCCTATGTTCAAGCAATTCTCCTGCCTCAGTCTCCCGAGTAGCTGGGACTACAGATGCATGCTATCACGCCTGGCTAATTTTTTGATTTTTAATAGAGATGAGGTTTCACCATGTTGGCCAGGCTGGTCTCAAACTCCTGACCTCATGTGATCTGCCCACCTCAGCCTCCCAAAGTGCTGGGATTACAGGTGTAAGCCACTGCACCTGGCAATTTTTAAATATATATAATTAAAATTTAATAAAAAACAGGTATTTGCAAGTTTCCGTTTTGTTATATGCTTATTATTCTTTATATTTATGTCAGGTTGCTGTGTCAATACACTTAGGAGATCATAGTTTCTAAATTGAAATACAAATAAATATGTCTGAAATTTTTTCTTTTTTCTTTTTTTTTGAGACAGACTCTCATTCTGTCACCCAGGCTGGAGTGCAGTGGTGCAATCTCAGCTCACTGCAACCTCCGCCTCCCAGATTCAAGTGATTCTCCTACCTCAGCCTCCAGAGTAGCTGGGATTACAGGCACCCGCCATGACACCCAGCTAACTTTTATATATTTTTTTTTTCTATTTTTAGTAAAGACAGGGTTTCACCATGTTGGCCAGGGTGGTCTCCAACTCCCGACCTCAGATGATCCTCCTGCCTCGGCCTCCTCAAGTGCTGGGATTACAGGTGTGAGCCACTGTGCCTGGCCTGGAATTTTTTTCTAAAATTTACATTTCTGAGTTAAGAATGCTTAAAATGTTATAAAAACAGAAGTACAATTCATTATGTGTTTCATTAATTACCTTTATTAAAAACAACACAATTATATTACAATAGGACAAAAAATGTTTAAGCAAATGAAAACGAAACCATGACATACCCAAACTCAGGAGGAGGCAACAAAGGCAGTGCTAAAGGGAAGCTTACAGCTCCAGATGCTTAAATTAAAAAGAAGAAAGATCTCAAACCCATGCTAAAGGGAAGCTTACAGCTACAGATCCTTAAATTAAAAAGAAGAAAGATCTCAAACCCATGCTAAAGGGAAGCTTACAGCTGCAGATGCTTAAATTAAAAAGAAGAAAGATCTGAAACCCTTGCTAAAGGGAAGCTTATAGCTGCAGGTGCTTAAATTAAAAAGAAGAAAGATCTCAAATCAATAACCTAACATTACACCTGAAGGGGGGGAAAAAAACTAATGACAAACCAAGCAAAAGGAAGAAAATAACAGATTAGAGCAGAGATAAGCAGAATAAGACCAGAAAAAAGGAAAAAAACACTGAGTTTGTTTTTTTAAAGATCAATAAAAATTTTAAAACTCACAGCTATATTAAGAAAAAAGAGAAATCTCAAATACTAAAATCATAAGTAAAAGAGGTGACAGTACAACAGATGCCACAGAAATGAAAAAGATTACAAGAGACTAATGTGAGCAACCATATGCCACAAAACTGGGCAACCTAGAATAAATTTATAAATTCCTAGAAACACAAACCACCATACTGCATCATGGAGAAATAAAAAATCCAAAGAGACCTGTAACTAGTAAGAAGATTCAACCAGTAATCAAAAACCCCACCAAAAAGAAAATTCCATGTCCAGATAACTTCACTGGAAAATTTTACCAAATATTTCAAGAAGAATTAATGCCAATCCTCTGCAAAATATTCCAAAAATGTTCAAAAACCAGAAGGGGACATTCCAATCCATTTATCAGGTCAACGTTTATCTGGTTCCAGAGCCAGATGAACACCTTTTGTAATAAAAACACTCAAAGAATTAGTAATATATGGAAACTCCTCAGTAAATAAAGATTATACAGGAAAAGCTCACAGCTAACATCATACTCAATGGTGAAAGACTAAAATCTTTTCCTCTAGGATCAGGAATAAGATAACAACATCTCTTCCTGCCACTTCTATTCATCACAGTACTGGAATTTCTACTCAGAATAATTAGTCAAGAGAAAGTAATAAAAAGGATGCAAATTGGAAAGGAAAAAGTACAAAATTTTGTTCACAGACAACAGGATGTAATGGGTAAAAATCCTGAAATTCCCAAAATACTGGTAAAATAATGAAATTCAACAAAGTTTCAGGATACAGTAACACACACAAGTCAGTTGCATTTCCATAAACTAACAATGAACAATCTGCAAATAAAATTTTAAAAAGAGAGGCCAGGTGCAGTGGCTCACACTTATAATCCCAGCACTTTGGGAGGCCAAGGCGGGTAGACCACCTGAGGTCAGGAGTTCGTGACCAGCTGGGCCAAACCCATCTCTAAAATAAATAGTAAAACTCTGTCTCTATTAAAAATACAAAAATTCGCTGGGCGTAGTGGCAGACAACTGTAGTCCCAGCTACTTGGGAGGCTGAGGCAGGAGAATTGCTTGAACTTGGAAGGTGGAAGTTGCAGTCAGCTGAGATTGTGCCACTGCGCTCCAGCTTAGGAAACTGAGTGAGACGCCATCTCAAAGAAAAGAAAGAAAGGAAAGAAAGAGAGAGAAAGAAAAGAAAAGAAAGATAAAACAAAAGAAAAGAAATTTTTAAAAAGAATGACATTTGGCTGGGTGCAGTGGCTCATGCCTGCAATCCCAGCAGTTTAGGAGGCCGAGGCAGGCAGATCACCTGAGGTCACAAGTTCAAGACTTGCCTGGTCAACATGGAGAAACCCTGTCTCTACTAAAAATACCAAAAAATTAGCTGGGTGTGCTGGCGCGCACCTGTGATCCCAGCTACTTGAGAGGCTGAGGTTGGAGAATCGCTTGAATAAAGAAGGTGCAGGTTGCAGTGAGCTGAGATAGTGCCACTGCACTCCAGCCTGGGAGACAGAGCAAGACTCCATCTCAAAAAAAAAAAAAAGTATTACATTTACAACAGCATTATAAAAATTAAAAATAAGCTTAACCAAAAGGGCAAAAGATTTGAACACAGAAAACTACAAAACACTGTTGAAAGAAATTAAACACAAATAAATGAAAAGAAAAGCTGGGTTTGCAGATTAGATGATTTCATCTTGGAATGATGTCAACACTACTCGAAGTGACCTAGATTCAATACAATCCTTATAAAGATTCCAATAACATTTTTGATAAACAGAAAAACCTATCCTAAAATTCATATGGAATCTCCAGGGCCCATGAATAGGCAAATCAATCTTGAAGCAGAACAAAATTAAAGGTCTCAAAACAATTACAAAACTGCAATAAGCCAAAAAAAATTGTGGTCATGGCATAAAGACATACTTGACACACTTATGGACCAACACAACAGAGACCTCAGAAACCAACCCTGGCATATATGGTCTGATGATCTTCCACAAGGATGCCAAGACCACTCAATGGCGAAGGACAGTTTCTTCAACAAATGGTGTTGGGAAAATTGTATATCTACATGCAAAACAATGAAGTTGGACTCTTACCTTACACCATGTTAAAATTAATTCAAAGTGAATTATAAACCTAATTGTAAAACTAGAACTATCAAACTCCTAGGGAAAACAAATTTGGAAAATGCTTTATGATGATGAATTTGTCAATAATTTTTAGGATATGACATTAAAAGCTCAGGCAGTAAAAGCAAAAATATATCAAACCTAAAAACTTCTGTACCACAAAGGTCACAACCAACAGGGTAAAAGGCAAACTGTAGAATAAAAGAAAATACCAGTTGAGTGTCCCTTATTTGAAATGCTTGGGATGTGTTTCAGATTTTGTAATATTTGCATTATTCTTACTGGTTGAGCATCTCGAATTCAAACACCTGAGTCTGCGATGCTCCAATAAGCATTTCCTTTGAGTGTCATGTTGGCACTCAAAAAGTTTCAGACTTTGGAGCATTTGGGATTTCAGATTTTTGGATCAGAGACATTCAACCTATAGTTGCACATCATGTATCTCATAAGAAGTGAACATTCAGAATACGTAAAGTACTCCTACAGAGAGACTACCAGAAGCAGAGAGGAGCAGACACATTTTCACACTAGGGCACCTCCTATCTCTCCCGGATTCCAATTACGGCAGAGTAAGTGCTAGTTCTCTGCCAACCCAGGATTAGGCCCTGCAGCTGCAGTGAAAATAATCACAGAAGAAAATTAAGAAATAAAAAAATGGAGAAAGTGAGACATCAAACTAAAATTACTAGAAACCCCAAGGAAGAAAGAAAAAGAAACGAAGAAAACAGAAAAACAATTAAACCAGTTAATTAAACCTTGGCATGACCAGAAGATCAGAGTTTCCTAAAGGAGTGGAAATTTATTGATTTGAAGAGGATTTATTGATTACTGATTTGAAGAGGAAGAAAAACCATGAATGGTCTAAAGCAAAAGCCTAGTGTCTGAAGAAGTCAGTAGGGTGAAAACAAGAGCTGGCCAGAATATCCACAGATGGTGACAAGTTGGCAAAGCCTTTACTAGACTACTCGTGAGGCTAACTAGAGGCCAAGGAGCCGACACTGCCCCGTCCTTACAGAGAGACCCTACACAGGATTCCCAGATATACATGGAAGGACAACATCTTATCAGGTCCTCTCTGTGCAGATGTGGTTATCATTCCAAATAATGAGCTCCAGCCCCAAGACTGTTCCATCCTCAATTGCTTTGAGTGGGCAATGTAGGCTCTCCACACACGACCTACATGTAGGTTCCTTGGGTACCCAGATGGGAGCCATGAAACACAAACCCTCCATGGTCAGGTCTGTATTTGTTTCCTGCCTTTTTCCCAGCAATCCCCAGGCCCCAGCAGTGGTGGTCTACCTCTGCTGATTCTCATTCAGAATCTAAACTTAGAAACAATTATAACCTAGACCCCAATTCTACCTGAAAGTAACAGAATAACATAATCTATACCCTGCAGCATGACTGTTTGCCCAACGTAATGAGGATGAACTGAGAGATAATGAATGATCATGACCCTGGCCCAAGTAATGAGAATGAACTGTGAGATAAATGAATGATCATGACAAAAAACCCCGCTACAACCCAACAACAAAATAAAGTGATTAAAAAATGGACAAACAACATTTATCCAAAGATGCAAAGATGATATACAAATAGCCAACAGATACATGAGATATATGAGAAGATGTGTAACATCACTAGTCATTAGAGAAATGCAAAAAGAAACCACAATGGGACATCACTTCAAACCCAATAGAAAGTAACAAGCGCAGGTGAAACTGAAACCCTTGAACACTGTTGGTGGAAATATGAACTGGCTCCTCAAAAAAAAATAAAATAAAATGACCATATGATCCAGCCATCCAACTACTACAGAGACAGAATAACTAGTAGCAGGACCTCAAACAGATATGTGCACACCTAAGTTCACAGCAGCATTACACAGCCACAAGGTGGAAGAAACAAAAACGTCCATCCAGGAATAGGTGGATAAACAAAAGCATATATATATATGATATATATTATATATATATATAATATATAATATATATAATATATATAATGTATGTATATAATATATATGTAATATATATATAATATATATATGAAGAAATATTATTCAGCCATAGAAAGGAAGAAAATCGTGACACATCTGACACATAACATGGAACCTACTTACAAAACAACAAATATTATATAACCCTAGGTATATAAGCCAAATTTTTAGAAACACAAAGTAGAATAGTACTTGCCAGGGGGTGGAAGGAGGGGGAAATTAATAGTTGTTGAATGGGTATAGAGTTTTCCAAGATAAAAAAAAAATCTAGAAATCTGCTACACAACACCGTAAATATTCTTAACTCTACAAAACTGTATACTTACAACTAGTTACGACGGTAAATTTTAAGGTATGTGTTTGTTACCAAAATTCTAAATAATAAATTATTTATAAAAAATGATCTTTTTTGACACAAGGTCTTACTCTGTTGCCCTGGAAGGAGTGCAATGGCATGATCACAGCTCATTGCAGCCTCAACCTCCCAGGCTCAAGCAACACTCCCACCTCAGCCTCCCAAATAGTTGGGACTACAGGTGCACACCAAGATGTCAGGCTAAATTTTGGTTTGGTTTTTTTGTAGAGAGGGTTTTGCCATGATGCCCAGGCTGGTCTCAACCTCCTGGGCTCAAGCAATCCACCTCCCTTGGCCTCCCTCAGAGCTGAGATTATGAGCATAAGCCACCATGCCCAGCCTATAAAAAAATATTTCAAAAAGCCAAAATATTAATCAAACTGGAGTATTTAGAAATATTTAACCCAAAAGAAGTTAGGAAAGAATATATAGAAGATCAAAACACAGACGAAGGCCAGACATGGTTGCTCATGCCTGTAATCCGAACACTTTGGGAGGCCAAGGTGGGTAGATTGCTTGAGCTCAGGAGTTCAAGACCAGCCTGTGCAACATGGCAAAACCCTATCTCTACAAAAAATATAAAAATTAGCCAGGTGTGTTTCCATGCGCCTGTAGTCCCAGCTACTCAGTGGGCTCCAGTGAGGATTGGTTGGGCCTGGGAAGCAGAGGTTGAAGTAAGCCAACATTGCACCATTGCACTACAGTCTCGGTGACAGAGCAAGACCCTGTCTTAAAAAAAAAAAACAAACAAATAGAAAATAAGTAGAAAAATGGCAGACCTAAATCCAACCTTAGCAATGATTAGTTACAATGTAACTGGACAAATACTCTACTTAAGACAGAGACTGCCAGACCTGAGAGGAAAGCAAGACCCAACAATATGGCATCCACAGAGACACAATTTAAATACAAAGACACAAAGTATGAGAAAAAATATGCTATGCAGACACTAATCATAAAAATATGCTATCCAGACACTAATCATAAAAAGCTTCAATGGAGATGTTAACACTAGATGAAAGAGGCTCCAGAAAAAAAATATATCACCAGAAATAAACAAGGTAATTTCATAAAAATAAAAGAATCAGAGAGGATGATGTTACAATTATAAATTGTGCCTCAAATTGCACACAAAGTACACACACACACAGAGCCTCAAATTATGTAAATCAAAAACAACAGAACAAAAGCAGGAAATTGACAATCCAAAATTATAACTGGTGAATTAATACTGCTCTCTCAGTAACTGATGGAACAACCAGATAAAAATATAGGAAAAATACGGATCTAAATGACAAAATCCTGACCCAAATGGTACTTGGCAGTACCAAGATAGACTGTCGATCAATTGAGAAAATGTTCAAGCATGAAATAGTATACAAAGTATGTTGTCTGAACACCTGAAATTAAATTAGAAACCAACAACAAATTGATATCCAGAAAAGCCTCAAATGTCTGAAAACCAAGTAATAAACTTTGAAATACCCTGTAAGTCAAAAAAGTATTCACAAGGGGAACTGGAATGTATTTGGAACAAACTTGTTATAAAAATCATATTTCTGGTAGACTAAAGGTGACAACATCTTTCCTGCTCCTCTCTCTGTGAGAACCAATTCCCCTTAAACCTTGCCCAGACTACTGACTTGCTTGGCCAACAGAAGGTGACAAAGGTGGTATTTGGGGACTTCAGAAGCCAGGCTGAGAAAACAGAACACTTATCCAGGAGAAAGCCAGTCACCAGGCAGGAAATCCCACTCCCCTGAGACCCCATGATGGAAACCACACGGCCAGTCCATGACTAGCTACATGCATTGACATCCCCCATTGACCCTCTAGCAACACCGACTCCCAACCACTAGTGAGCCTTCAGCAACATCCCCTCCCAACCACTAGTGAGCCACCCTGCACACCACCCCGCTGTGCTTTCACACAATCCAGCTTGGCTGCAACTGTGTGTGAGATGAGCTGGCCACCAAGACTCTCTAAGCCAAAAAACAAGTAATAATGAGTTGTTTTAAGCTGCCAAGTTTTGGGGATGGTTTCTTCAGAATAGATAACTGGAACAGAATATTGTAGCTGGAAATGAGCCGCTGTGGTAATCAGAAGCTACAATATGTGCCACGACTGTGAGGCTGACCTGTAACTGGGCCTCAAGGAGAACATTCATGCAACCTGGAAGGGCAACAAGACTCTTGGTCAGGGCCTGAAAGACGGTGAGAAAATGTCATTGGAAACTGGGGAAAAGGCCTGAGAGTTATGTGCTGAGGGACTGTGAGAAAACTATGGCCACAACATGGAAACTGAAAGGGCACTGCACCATCTCAGGGATCTGCCTAAGGAGACATCTGGGAAGAACATGGAAAGTGCTATCAGCCTCCCCTAACTGTCACTGAATAAACATGACAGGAGAGGGACATGATCTAAAGAAGGAAGTTCAGTTTTCAAACAAAATTTAGAGAAAATATAAAGAAATAATTTCTTGTCTCAAAAGGCCAAAGAAAAAAAAAAGAAAAAAAAAAATTATAAAGAAGCCATTGAATACCCTATTGACCATAAGAAAAAGGCAGAGAAAGTTGGTCAACGGCAACCCAGGCACTGAAGGAAAAAGAACATGGAGAATGACAAAAGCCCAGAGGGAGGAGTAAAAGGACACAAACGCCGTTCTCAGGGACAAGGACTGGGCGCCGTTCTCAGGGACCTGGACTGGGCACTAATCACAGAACTGTAACAGGCGCCCCATGGTAATGACCAACTGTTAGACGGGGCCTGCAGGGCAGCACCTCCCTCCTGCCTCCCACCAACAGCTTCTACAGGGAAATGCCGACTGTTTTCACACCAGTCCCCTCACTGCGGCTGAGTGTGTGGGCACAGATGATAGGTCACAACAACCTTATTCAGTCCTCACTGTGGCTGAGTGCGTCAGGGGCAGACAACAGGCCACCACAACCTGATTCAGTCCTCACTGTGGCTGTGTGTGGGGGGGCAGATGACAGGCCACCACAACTTGATTCAGTCCTCACTGCGGCTGAGTGTGTGTGGGTGCAGGTGACAGGCCACCACAACCTGATTCAGGATTCAGTTGGGCTACCAGCCAGTGCCATAAGGAAAACCACTCTGGGACTCTTGAGAGGGGCAAAGCATAATTTGCATGTGGGAGAAACGTTAGTAGTTTGTGGCCAGAGGACAAACTGTGGTTTATTAAAGACTGCTGCAGGTTCCTACTATGCTTCTCATCAAGAGGTGGAATCTAATCACCTTCCCCCCTTGAATCATGGCTGGTCTCAGTGATGAGTACGACTGGACAGTGTGGCAGGAGAGATGTTCTGGGACTTCTGAGGGATGATCATGAGAGACCTTACAGCTTCTGCCTGGGCCTCTTGGACACATACACTGGGAGAAGCCAGACAAACCTGACTACCTGACACTGCCAGACTGGGAGGAAGTCCGTGCTGGCCACAAAGAGAGGGCTTGGTGCCTGCTCCATGTCCCCAGCCACTAGAGTCCTTCTGGTGCCTGCTTCACGTCCCCAGCCACTAGAGTCCTTCCAGATGAGACCAGGGACATCATGAAGCAGCCAACCCACATTGCCCTGTCCAGTGTCTTGACCCAGAAAATTGTGACATGTAAAAAGAATAAATTCCTGGTTTAAGCCAGTAAGGTTACTGGTACATTGTTACATTGCAGATAATTAAAACCTTGAAAAACTCATGAGAGATCCCAAGTAAAACCTTGATCTGAAACATGGCATGTGGCGATTTATATTGAGTATTAGGTTAAAAATGCAAGATTGGAGAATAGTTAATATTTTACGTTAAAGCTAAAACTATAATTGCCCACTTAAAATTTTCAGTTAATTAGGTTGTCACTTTTTGTTCTTAACCAAGAAATCAACTAGTTTTAGTCCATAAACAGTTGGAACTGATGCACACATCCGTTTTTCCTTACTCATTTTAAGCAGCTATCTGAAATAGGAAGCATAATATAATCTTTAAAGAATCTGAAAATATGACAGAAATGTTTAAACTATAAACATATATTGTAAATGTTAGCATATTATATACATTGCATATTAACATAAGCTAAAATCATTGATATAAATTTATATAAACAAAAGGTAGAAAATATGACAATGTTCTTCTTGTTTTTTGTCTTTGCATATTTCTTTATTGGCCCTTGTCAAACGTGACCCACTAACTCCTGAATGCTTTCTCTCTCCCCATGGATTCCTAAGGATGTCACCACAGTGCTGGCCAGATGCACAGATCACAGGTGACTGAACCTCATCACCCCACGAACACACCCTTCAGGTTTTGCCAAGAATGACACTGTAAATATAACAAAGCTCCTGTGCTTGTTAGTGAACACCAATTCAGCTTCTCTCCTGTATTTGGAAATCAGGATGAGATGAAAACAACAAGCAGGCCAGGCACGGTGGCTCACGCCTGTAATCCCAGCACTTTGGGAGGCCGAGGCGAGTGGATCACCTGAGGTCGGGAGTTCGAGACACCCTGATCAAAACAGAGAAACCCCATCTCTACTAAAAATACAAAATTAGCCGGGCGTGGTGGCACATGCCTGTAATACCAGCTACTCAGGAGCTGAGGCAGGAGAATTGCTTGAACCCAGGAGGTGGAGGCTGCAGTGAGCTGAGATCACACCACTGCGCTCTAGCCTGGGCAACAAGAGCGAAACTCTGTCTCAAAAAATAAAAATAAAAATAAAAGAACAAGGAAACAAAAGCAACAAGGCTTGACACCAGATGAGCCTGAATCTAAGCAAGAAAAGCCCAGAAGAAATCCCATTTTGGGTCACTGGCTGCATGGTAGTAATGCCATACACATAAGGAAGAGAAGAGGATGTGGCTTTCACTTCGAATTTTTTGAGCTTAAGGTAAATTTGGATAGCTACAAAGAAGCATTCAACAGAGAGTTAAACCTATGATGGAAAGACTGAAGAGGTCCAAGCTGTAGAGAAACAGGACTGCAAACCACAAAGGGCTGAATCAGTCAAGGAGAACTGCAGGGCAAGATGAACAGGGACCAATGGAACATTTGGATAAGCTGTTGAGAAGAAAGGAGAATTCAGAGAAAAAGAACTGTCAGTGAGGTCATAATAGGAACTGTTACAGTGAACTAAATATGGCCTGGGAAGGACTCTGTACTTCTAGATTTGAGTCCCTGTGGACAAACTGCAACCTAACTTAATAGGTAGAAAGACTGAAAACCTAACTTAGGAGTATGTGCCTAAAACAGTAGCTGAGTCCTGGCCAATCCCAACAGCCAAACTTCTGCCACTCACACACTGCTGAGTGGTCAGCTGTGTTCAAATAAGGCAAATGCTGAGCACTGTAACCAGTCCAGTTGTTTCTGGACCTCACTGCTGAGAACTGTAATGGACCCAGTTGCTTCTAGACCTCACTCCTCACTTCAGATTTTTGTACATCATGTTCCCTTTATTGTCTATAAATCTTCCACCATGTGTCTGTGCTGGAGTCTCACTGAATCTGCTGTGATTCTGGGGGCTGCCTGATTCGTGAATCATTCATTGCTCAATTAAGCTCCTTTAAATTTAATTCAGCTGAAGATTTTCTTTTAATAGATGGTGTCAGAAGTGGGATCCGTGGGAGCAGGACTGCTAGGGCCTCTGGAGCTATACTGTGGTGAGCAGTGTTGCTAAGCCTTCTAATGACCCCCAGAGTGCTGAGGTACAAGGAAGGAACCTGAAAGGACCCATTTGTGATGGCAGCAGTGGCCCACGTGGAGCAGTTGCTATGGAGACACTGGCTGCAGTGGGGAGGAGTGGCTGGGGCTGTGCACTCCTCAGAGCTGGTGGGAGCCAGGAATGGGTGGGAGACCTGCCCCTTCTAAATTATCAGGCAGGAGCCCCGCCCTCCCAGGCACAGCTGCAGCCATCCAGCCATGACTGCAAACCCAGGCATCTCTGCACTCTCAGAGGCCCAGCAAGCCCCCCTGCCCCGCAGGCTCAGTTGTACCTGGTCCTGCCACCTGGCGTCTCTCTGCTTCCAGAGCCCACTCCAAATTCAGATCCAAGTTGAGGCCAAACCTGGGCACAGTCACAACCTGGCCTGGTTTGTGCAAGCTCAGGGCAGTGCTGACATGCCAGCCCCCTGCCACCTCGGCCCCCTCCAGAATTTGGGCACTGGCAAGCACAGGAGGGAGGCTGAGGTGTGGCTAAGAGTGGCTCAGCAGTGGCCGGAAGGCCCTCCTCAGCTCGAACGCCTGGGCACTATGGGCACAGCTACCCACCGTGCGTCTCCTCTCAGCTGCTGAGAGCTGAACAGACGTTGGGATGACCTGCCTGCAGAAAGGAGCTACCCACTGCAGGTCTCCTCTGAGCTGTACTGTGGCTCAATAAAGCACCTCTTCACCTTGCTCACCTTCTACTTGTCCACATACCTCATTTTTCCTGGACTCAGGACAAGAACTCAGGACCTGCCAACTAGCAGGGCTGAAAGAGGTGTAACATAAACAGGGCTGAAACGCTATCCTTTCTTGCCAAATTGCAGGCAAGAAGAAGAGAAGAGAGAAGGAGAGAAGAGCTGTGTCCCTTCAGGGAACACAGACCTAGGAGCTCCTCCAACCAGGGCTGTGACACCTTCTTTGGGGCTCTGCAGGTCCTGCATCTCCAAGCTTCTGGGTGCCACTGCATTCCCTGATACCCACAGTGGAAGTTGTTTGCAGTCGGCCTGGTCCAGCTGCAGCCTCACAGGGAGCTGGCACCTGTGCCTGGAGCTGCCCACCCCACTGCAGCTGGCATGCTTGGCTGTGTGCAGTGGCCAGATCCCATGCTCGCTTGCTCACACACCCCTCACTGCTCTGTACCCAGCTCGCCCTTGGCAGGTGTGGGATCCAGACCACTAGCATGAGCTGAGTGGACAGAACTAACCCAGTGGGCCCGAGCAAAACACAGGTAAAGGTGCCACCAGCCAGAGGTTTCAGGCAGAAAAGTGACACCTCAGGATTCTGTAACACTTGTGTCCTTTGATCTCTCGGAGCAGCTGGAGATCATGGTAAATTTTCTCTCGGATTTCAGAGCTCCATGGATTTGTGTTTTGAGCTCTGAGTTTCTTTGAGCAAATTTCTGTTCCAAACTGCTATCCAGCCATGACTGGCTGGATGTTTTAGAAGTTATAACAGAAAAGGGACCGGGTCCAGGATCAGATTTGATCCAGTAGTTAATTGGCTTGAATCCAGTTCCAGTTAGAGGCCTCCTACATCTGACTGGGTCAGAAGGAAAGTGGTAGTAAATGATAATATTGGAAGATTGTAACATTTGGCTTTTGAAAATTCACAGGGATTTTTGTGTTCTACCCCTTTGTTTCATTTTTCTCGCACGCTTAGGCAGGAAAAAAAAATCATTGGCTAAGTTAATGAAGGGAACCTGGGAGTAAAGCCAATATTTTAGGTAAAAATAGGATCCTTAATTTCTGGAAAACTAAGCTCCTTCTGGCTAATACATTAGGCCTGGGAAGCAGCAAAGTCTTACAGAAATGGCAAAATCTTATTAAGATAACTTACAGTGGAACATTTCAAATGAATAATGCCCTGAAGTGCATTTAAAAATGAGGGTTCCCAAATTAGTCTCATCTAGGGATGCCTATTAATATGCAGAAGCTTCTAAAAAGATTTAGAGATGGCACCGCCCATCTGGGAGCAAGTTTGAGTCTTACCAGTTTGATACTGGGTGCTGAGCAAAGTGGCACGTGTCTATGTTTTGTCACATGTATTTTGCTCTGGGCAGAATGAAAAATGTTAATTTGGTTACTCCAAGCAACCCCTTGGGCAGCATCTTGCAAAGCTGAGTGGATTCTTCCTGTGATTCCATGATTTTCCATTGTGATGCAGCTTGGCCCCCAGAGCTATAATGTGGTGAGGAGGGTGACAGAGCAAGACGCAATCTTTAAAAAAAAATGGCCAGGTGCAGTGGCTCATGCCTGTAATCCCAACACTTGGGGAGGCTGAGGCAGGTGGATCACCTGAGGTCAGGAGTTCAGGGCCAGCCTGACCTACAAGGAAAAACCCCGTCTCTACTAAAAACACAAAATTAGCTGGGCATGGTGGCACATGCCTCTAATCCCAGCTACTCAGGAGGCTGGGGCAGGAGAATCGCTTGAACCCGGGAGGCAGGGGGTTGCAGTGAACCGAGATCACACCATTGCACTCCAGCCTGGGCAACAAGAGGGAAAATCCATCTGAAAAAAAAAAAGAAAGAATAATAGGTTTGTCTATAAGGTTTTATGAAAAAGTGGGTGACATTTGGCTTTCTCTCTTTAAAGAAGATGTTCAGGTAATATTAAAAAATAATGAAAAATTTGTTTGCCTTTTAAATAAACTACCAA
This sequence comes from Homo sapiens, assembly GCF_000001405.40. Lineage (NCBI taxonomy): Eukaryota > Metazoa > Chordata > Mammalia > Primates > Hominidae > Homo > Homo sapiens. The sequence goes on from NT_113889.1 coordinate 89,206, forward strand.
AAAAAAAAAAAGGAAAAACAAGAGGCAGATCGTTTGTGAAGATGTCTTCCCTCTATCAATGAGTAAAGATTTTTGCCCTTTAAAACTTTTTTAAGTCATGATTTTAAGTAAATGAATGACTTACGGTGACCTGGAATTCTATTTCATAACATCAAGTGTTTAAACTTTTAATATATTTAATAGGCTTCCCAAAATCAAATTTCAACTTCAAAATTGTCTTTTCTGACCTCTAAATTTGGGATACTACAGACGCCCTTGAAGCACCCAAAAGAGAGGTAAACAGGACTATTTAACATGTTAAGTCACATGGGTAGCACTGTCAAAATAAAACATAATGTTGAACCTTTTTCAGGTTATATTTAGTTTATGTCATCAACCCGTTCTAAAATTGTATAGGATTTCTAAAATTCTTTTTTTTTTTTTTTCCCCTGAGACGGAGTCTTGCTCTGTCACCCAGGCTGGAGTACAGTGGCACAATCTCGGCTCACTGCAACCTCCACCTCCTGGGTTCATGCCATTCTCCTGCTTCAGCCTCCCGAGTAGCTGGGACTACAGGCATCCACCACCATGCCAAGCTAATTTTTGTATTTTTAGTAGAGATGGGGTTTCACCGTGTTAGCCAGGATGTTCTCATCTCCTGACCTCGTGATCCTTCCACCTTGGCCTCCCAAAGTGCTGGGATTACAGGCGTGAGCCACTGCACCTGGCCAGGATTCTAAAATTCTAATATGCCTATATGCTATCTATCATAATTACCTGTTTTGTTTGTTTTGAGACGGAGTTTCGCTCTTGTCACCTAGGCTGGAGTGCAATGGTGTGATCTAGGATCACTGAAGCCTCCACCTCCTGGGTTCAAGCATTTCTCCTGCCTCAGCCTCCCAAGTAGCTGGGATTACAGACAACTGCCACCACATCCGGCTAATTTTTTTTTTATTTTTAGTAAAGACAGAGTTTTACCATGTTGGCCAGGCTGGTCTCAAACTCCTGACCTCAGGTGATCCACCTAACTTGGCCTCTCAAAGAGCTGGGATTACAGGAATGAGCCACCACATCCACCCTAATTATGGTTATTAAGTTATTGTAGACCACAGAAATAACCAAATTTCCTTATCAATTGTCTTTAACTATAACTATTTAAAGTCATTTCCACAGTTAATTGCTTAATGATGATGCAGTTTCTAAAAACTTCACAAGCATGCAAAATTCTAGAATAGAAGATTCATGAAAGAATGAAAAGGACCATGAAAAACACTCGGGAACACAGGTTTCTAATAACTTTAATATCATGGGTAAAAATTCCCCATAAGTTTCCCGATCCCCCAATAATTGGACTGGTTAAGAATTCTCAAAAGTTAGGCTGGGTGCAGTGGCTCATGTTGGCAATCCCAGCACTTTGGGAGGCCGAGGCTGGTGGATCACTTGAGGTCAGGAGTTTGAGACCAGCCTGGCCAATGGTGAAACCCCACCTCTACTAAAACTACAAAAATTAGCCAGGTGTGGTGGTATGCATCTGTAATCCCAGCTACTCGGGAGGCTGAGGCAGGAGAATCACTTGAACCCAGGAGGCGGAGGTTGCAGTGAGCCAAGATTGTGCCACTGCACTCCAACCTAGGTAACAGAGTGAGACTCTGTCTCAAAAAAAAAAAAATCCTAAAGTTTAATAAGAAGACCAACTGGTTTATAAAACTGCTAACCCAAGTAAAACAAAAATTGAATATCAAGGAAATATTTTCCAGATTTGCATGCTAAATCACCAATATTGAAATTGTTTAGATATATAATTTAAATAAACTCCATGGTCTAAGCCAAATTACCTATAACTCATCAGTTACCAGTGCCATGCACCTAATTTGAAGAAACAGCTGGTATTCAAGAGGATGTAAGTCTAATGTTAATTAAGCACAGACTTATGAAGAACCAGGATGGCCACCTTTCCGTCTTAAGTCCTTAAAACTTTTGTTATTAAAAGTTCTGCATTCCATAACTCATCATGGAAAGAGAAAATGATCCAAATTAAATATATTGCTGTGGTGATCTCTAAATTGCTAAAATAGTTTATAATCAATGTTTGGTTTGTCAAACCTATATTCCTAGGAAAACAATCAAAACTTCAGGTGCATTTGGTTACCTGATGGGCCATTTAAACATTTTATAAAGGGATTTCATTCAGTTGTCATTTTCAGTGCATGTTTTCTGATTGTAAAAAAGCTCTTCCATGCAAGAGGGTTGATGTTAAAACAGTAGATTATTATGCTGAAGTGTATTTTCACCAGATAAAGAAAGACTTTTATGGTTCACAGAGGACAGCCAACCCCTTCACAATCTAGAATCTGATGACTGGATCTTCTGAGAACATCAGAGGACTGCCCTTGCCATTCACATGACAGCAAAACATTAAAACCTTAAACTTTGGGTTCATAGTCTTACAACTCAGAAGGGTCCCTCCACAATTGGAACCATACACCCCTTGGAACCCTTAAGGTAAAGCTAACAAGGACAGTTCCCCCCCAGAAGAAGATGGCATCCTTAATGTGAACAGCTTTTCCCAAGATCACAGATCAAGACTTCTCTACTATTATGAGACTCTTATCTTAAGTATCTGTGCAGCTGCTAACATGGCATATGGAGAAAACATCGGGTATTATAAAGATTTGGTTGTAGGGAATTAACAAAAAAACCCACTTAGTTAAGCAAGTAAACTCTTTATCTAATTCATTCTTTAATCTATTTGATTTTAGGTGGTTTGATTTATGGGGACCCTGAGTAAGGAGCATATACCAAATTCTTGGTGTTATCCCAATAGTCATAAGAGTCTCCCTGGTGCACTGTACTTACTCAAATGTTTTAAGAGTTTGCATGCAGCCATCTCTAAAATGTCAAATGGTATCTCTTCAACTGGAATGACAACAGATTAAAAAAATGTGCAATCATAAGGACACCGTAACCTATGAGTGACATGCTAAACCAGAAACCCAAAACAATGGGAGTGACATGCTAAACCAGAAACCCAAAACAATGGGACTGATGTACTAAAACCGGAACCCAAAACAATGGGAGTGATGTACTAAAACCAGAACCCAAAACAATGGGAGTGACATGCTAAACCAGAAACCCAAAACAATGGGAGTAACATGCTAAAACCAGAACCCAAAACAATGGGAGTGACGTGCTAAAACCATTACCCAAAACAATGGGAGTGATGTGCTAAACCGGAAACCCAAAACAATGGTAACTAAGAGTGAGGCTAAGGCCCTACATTTTGGTCACACTCTCAACTAAGTGAGAACTTGACTGAAAAGGAGGATTTTTTTTTTTTTCTGAGACAGAGTCTTGCTCTGTCCCCCAGAGTGGAGTGCAGTGGCATGATCTCGGCTCACTGCAAGCTCTGCCTCCCGGGTTCAGGCCATTCTCCTGCCTCAGCCTCCTGAGTAGCTGGGACTACAGGCACCCGCCAGCATGCTTGGCTATTTTTTTGTGTATTTAGTAGAGATGAGGTTTCACCGTATTAGCAAGGATGGTCTCAATCTCCTGATCTCGTGATCTGCCCACCTCGGCCTCCCAAAGTGCTGGGATTACAGGCATGAGCCACCGTGCCCAGCCAAAAGGAGGAATTTTTTAAGCAAAATTATGGGAGGCCATTGTTTTGAACTAAGCTCATGCAATAGGTCCCAACAGAACAAACCAAACCAAAATGGAGTCACTCATGTTAAATGGAACATAATCAAACTAAGACTTTAAGGAAACACATAAATCCTAGAACAAACCAGGTTTTGTTTTTCTCCTGTAAACAGGATGTTCCAGCATAAGAAGACACCTTCTACTCAAGTCCTTGTTCCACCTTTTCAAATCTCACTGTTCTATTTCCCAGTGGGTTTCTAAACCAAATAAGTACATTTGCAAGGGTAATAGTGACACCAGTGACTGAAGTTTTGGCCAGTCTCTCAAAATTGAGAAAATAACCAAAGGGAAGGCATTGTTAAAGTGAACTAAGTATGTCCTGAGAAGGACTCCATAATTATATATATGAGTCCTTGTGGATGACCTGCAACCTACCTTAATAGGTAAACAAGAATGAAAACCTAACTTGAGTGTATGCACCTCAAACAACAGCTACATCTTGGTCAATCCCAATGGCCAAACTTCAACCACTCAGGCACTGCCAAATGTTCAAACTGTGCTCAAACAAGGCAAACGCTGAGTTGTTTCTGTACCTCACTTCCGATTTCGGTATGCCACTTCCCTTTTGTCTACAAATCTTCTTCCACCACATGACTGTGCTGGAGTCTCTGTGAATCTGCTGTGATTCTGGGGACTTTCCGATTCATGAATCGTTTATTGCTCAATTAAACTCCTTTAAAGTTTTTCTTTTAACAGAACTAACACGGAAGAATTTCCAGATCATGAACAGATGTTTTATAATACCCAACGTTGTATTAACATGAATAGACTCTTCCTTAGATAGCTAACCTTGTTTTTAATATGAATAGACTCTCCCTTAGCTGAGAAAACCAGACAAACTCCATTTGGCTCCTTCATTTACAAGACATCAAGGGCTCCTTACCCACCCCCTTTCCTCAAGGACTTTAACTTGTGCAAGCTGATTTTCAACATATCAAAGAGTGCAATTAACTGATAAAGTGCTGAGGCAAGTGATGTCCGCAGTTCCCAGCAAATTACTCAGAGATAATATCATAAAGCCCCCACATTTGTCTGGAAGATAATGCCCAGAGCCCCCTCACTCATCACTTTGTGGTGAATTTAAAGCCTCTGCACCTGGAACAGTTTGTTTTCCTGTAACCATCTGTCTTTTTAAGTTTTTTGTCTGTTTTTTCTTCTGTAAGTTTATTGCAGCTGGAATCCCCCCTCCCCTCTCTAAACCAATGTATAAAAGAAAATCTAGCCCATTCTTTAGGGCCGAGAGTATTTCCTGTGTTAGCCGTCTCTCAGTCACCAGCTAATAAAGGACTCCTGAATTCGTCTCAAAGTGTGGCATTTCTCTGTAACTCGTTTGGGTACGACAGTTTCAACTATGGTAGAAGACTCGAGTAAGACAAATACAGCCCCCCTAAATTTGACTATTATTTAGGTTAATGGTGAGTTTAGAAGAAATAAGTTAAGACTACACAGAGTGGGCTAAATTGCAAATAAACACTGAAAATATTTCCCAGAAAATGTGACTTTGAACAGGCTGCTGCACACCCTGCATGTAGAGATAAACTAAGAAAAATGTGTGGAGAGTTATTTAAGGACCTGTGGTTAACTCAGTCCTCAAGATGTTCTGGGTTTCATCCATGAGTCAAGGAGGACCTCCCAAAAGCTGTTTGGGACCACACTCTTTGAGCAAGGAGCATACCTTATGATGGAAGCTGTGCTTTAGCAGGAGATGACCATTTCCACTGCACAACACGCCGTGCTTTAGCAGACGATGACCATTTCCACTGTACAACATGCTGTGCTTTAGCGTCAGATGACCATTTCCACTGCACAACACGCCATGCTTTAGCGGAAAATGACCATTTCCACTGCACAACACGCCATGCCTTAGCGGAAGATGACTGTTTCCACTGCACAACACTACAAGTGCTTACTGCCAGACCGGTGTGAAATATGTTCCAGCACATAATCTATGTCACCAATGAAGGTGGTGGTTAAGACTTGGTGCACACAAGCTTTCCTGTCCCACAAGAACACAGCATGCTCTCTTTTCGGGTTCCATTCCAATCACGTAACAAACATGACTGCCTTTTTTGTTTCGGCATCAGAAAGATCAGAGGAAACTTTGCACTCAACTTAGACAACTCTAAGCTTTTATAACCTGTCTATATCTACAGGTCAGCTTTATCTTATTTATGTATATTTCCTTCAACCTGAGTTTTACTTATTTCCACTTTTCCTTTTTAATTCACAGACACCCATAAACTCAGAAAATACAGTGTAAAACAAAGTGAAGAACAAATAAAAAACTCACCAGAGATTTATTCGTTTCTTGTTGCTCTTGGAAACACCCAGAGGACACTGGAAACATAGCTGGAAGAGAAGGCAAATGATGTCGATTAAGGAGAGAACTGGTGAGGTGTGGTCCCAGATTCTTCTGCCCAACACTCTAGACACATTACCTGGAAAAGCCCTCCTCCCTCCGGAAAAAGAAAAACTTCCCCATGGGAGAAGAGTCCTTCACACCTCATTAGGGGCAGCAAAGACTCAAGTTAAGATAAGATACATCTACAAGTACATTAATTGGTAGACATTAGATGCACAATTTATTTTTGAATAAAAATATGTAGTACCTACAAATTTAGTAACAATATTACCTAAAGATATAATCTAATAATTTAATACAAAGAAACATTATAAGTTCACTAAAATAAATGTTATAGAAATATACTGGGCTGTATTAACTATTTTCCTATTAACATGTGGATTCCACAGATAACTTCTTATGAGTATTCCCATGACAGTACATCTTGCTTTTCTATACCTGAACATCATGGAAAGTGCATCTTGCAACCCAGCAATTTTGGCCTACGTTTTTTAAAATGTACATAATATGTATTTCCTGCAGTACACCGTTCTACTCATGTTTCCCAATAACACCTTTCCCTGTATCCAAGCCCTCATATTATGCTCTGACAATAAATTGGGCTTTTCCATCTGACTTGTCCAGTGAATGGACAATGGAAAATGTGATGCAAATATCCATTGGTTCTTGCCTTTTTGGACACAGTCATATTGTGAAGAGGTCTGGAGCTACCCTGTTGGAAACACAGGGCCTAGCCAAGAGTCACCACAAACCACCAGATTGTGAAGGAAACTATCTTAAACCAACCAGGCTCAGTCAAGGCACCAGGTGACTAAGGCCTGTTTTGTGATCCAGGCAACACAAATATATCAACTACCCAGCTGAACCCACCACACCAAAATGCAGATCCACAGAACTTCAAACAAATAAAATGGTGGTTGTTTTTTATAAGCTAGTAAGGTTTAATTAGTTCCTTAAACAGCAAATATTAACTGTTACACCTAAGTGAATAGAATTCAATATGTTTTTAACGAAATTATGTAGGGGGAGAAAGTCTTAAATTACAAATGAAATGCAATCAATAGAACTTCACAATCTATGCTAAATTTGGTGATGGACTAGGTTTAATATATCTCAGACACTGGAAACAACAAGCTAAGTTTGAAGGAATGGGACTGTATTTGGAGAGTATTTCAATCTTTTCAAGTATGACAGGTCACTCCTGCACCCCAGACCACACTTTCAGGCCCCTTCAAATAAGGAATATTTCCTAGGTCCTTGCCTGTTCTTCTCAGCTGAATTCACCTCAACCTTCTGAAAGTTCTTCCAAACCTTCCACTATCACCTAGTCTTTGCAAATCTTGTGCATTCTAGGGAGTAGAATTAATATTTCCTGAGCGAGGAAAACTGGGATCTTCACCTGCGACCTTTTATCCTCCTCTGAAGCACCAGTGAGAAGTTAGACCAGAGGGCTGTTCTTTCAAGTGCGCCTCTTATTCATAGGGAACCCTCCCTTTCAAACTTTATAACACACAGTGAAGACTGAAGTACTCTTAAGGCTGAAGACCATCATCCAGTACCCCATCTCCCTCGCGGAATCAGTGAGTTCCTCCATGGAAACTAGGTCTCGTATAAACTTCCATAAATGCAATCCAGGAGGACTAGGCAGGTCACACAGTGAAGGAGGGAACCAGAAACTTCACTTGCTAAATAGACACCAGGAAACCCAACTAATACAAACGCCCAGCTGAAGACTAGAGGCACACGCATTTCGCACTACTCCTCTGGGAATGGGGAACGTCTCCCGAGAACTGTGTGTTAGCACGGGGACAGATGGGCAAACTGAGCTACATGAGGGTTGGTAACCGGGTCCCTCAGTGGCAGGACAGGAGCGCGGCCTGCAGACTCCGGGCCCAGGGCCACCAGCCTCGCCTACCCACTCCTGCGCCTCTGGAACCCGCTTCACTGCTGGGACCCCACGTCTGTCCTCCCAGCCCCCGCCAGGGTCCACGGCCCGCAAATGCACGTCAAGCCCCTCCTGCCCGCGATGCGCCCAAGCGTCTGCCCCCACAAATGGGGAACACTGGTCTGGCCCCCCGGGATCCCCCGAGGCCCACAGGTTCCTCTTTGCCCTCGCACCTACCCACAGGGACATAGAACCAAGCCCCAGGCCTGCTCAGCTACACGACCGCCGCTGGGATCCGCACTTCCGGAGGAAAATGGCGAAGTGGGCGGGGCGGCGCATGCGCAGAGAGAAAAGCTGGTTCCCAAGGTCCTTGATGGTAACATCATTGGAAGGTGACACTACATTTCCTATGAGGCTCTGCGGTCCCCCGTTAGGAACGCACGCCGGACATTCTGTTTTGCCCAGCAGTGAGTCCAGTTACCCGGAGACCCGGACTTAATGGATCAGGACTGGTCCCTACCCACGTGACACAGATGTGGCATTCTGGTTCGTTATTAAATCCTGGTTTCACAGCCTGGGACATTGTGAAAATAATGGAGAAATTCCAATAGAAAACAATTGGTCTATGCTGTTAATGAGTAACTTTTTTTTTTTTTGAGATGGAGTCTCGCTCTGTCACCCAGGCTGGAGTGCAATGGTGCGACCTTGGCTCACTGCAAACTCTGCCTCCCAGGTTCAAGAGATTCTCCTGCCTCAGCCTCCTGAGTATCTGGGATTACAGGCGGGCGCCACCACACTCGCCTAATTTTTGTATTTTTAGTAGAAACGGGGTTTCACCATGTTGGTCAGGCTGGTCTCTAACTCCTAACCTCGTGATCTGCCCTCCTAGGCCTCCCAAAGTGCTGGGATTACAGGCGTGAGCCACCGCGCCCAGCCCTCAAGTCTATTTTTTATAGATGCATTCGAAAGCATGAAAAAAATCATGTCTCTATTTTACTTTAAATTTTTAAAAACACAACTAATGAATATGGTAATTCTCTTCCAATCTGTTATCTTTTCTCTCACGAAACTAATTTGTGAGCTTTCAATTTACACAGTTAGAAAAAAATGCTCTAGTGTATATACTAGGATAAAATAACAGGGTCATAAGACAAGTGCACTCCATAATCTTTGTGACAACTTACACTTCCAGTGTCTGATGAACATTTGCCCATAAACTCCCACGTTTCATCCATACATCCATCAATCAAATCTACCTATCTTTATTTATTTATTGTGCGAAATACCTGAACTTTGCCTTTCCTTCCCTGATTTCTGCCACAAACTAGGCAAGGAGTTCTGCCTAGGGGTTTTTCAGAGCTCCGGCTACCACCGAGGTTCCTAACAGGGAAATTGCCAGCTTGAATGCTTGGGGTTGATGTGGGAGTGCGTGTGAAACGGGTGTGGGGTGAAAGGGCAGTGAACTTTGTAGGTGGGTAGATGGGGGTGTGAAGGGCTTTCAGGTAAGAGGCACAGAGGAAACTGGGAGAGGCAGCGAAAGCACTTCACGCCTCAGATCACCAGAGGATGCTCCCACCAGCACCGTGACAGTTTGCCAGTGCCACGGCAACACAGGAAGTCCCCACCCCTTGCCATGGAAACAGCTGGAAGTTACTGCCCATTTCTAGCTATTTCTGAGTAACCCGCCCCTTAATTAGCATGTCATTAAAAGTGAATTATAAAAATGACTACAAGCCACACCTAGGCTGCTACTCTGGGAGCACAACCCACAGAGGGCTCCCTGCCCTGCAGGAGCGGACGCAGGGCTGTAACACCGCCAATGTCTCCATAGAGCTGCTTTATTCCACCACAGGCTTGCTTTTGGATTCCTTCCTGAGCGACGCCAAGAACCTGCCCTTCCTCAGTGTGACTCTTGCCTAAAATCTATCCCTGGTTTTCTCTTTTCCTAAGCATGCCCTGACTTGTTCTTTCATCTCCTCTGAACTTGCAATTGCTCCTCAGTGACTCTATTCTGCAGATCCAGAAAACTCAACCTTAATCTTCCCAGAGCCCTGTTGTCTCCAATATTGGAATATCTAGCCTTGCTTTCTCAGACGCCTAGATTACAGGCCTCTCTCTTGAACACCTATTGGTAAGGTATCCGGGGATCCTTTAAATACACGATGATTGGCAGGGTTTACATAGGGGAAATCAGTGTCTGACAATTCGCCTTCCAGGATATGGATTGTCATTCCCTCTCTTTGTGGGCCCCAGTCTCCTATACATAAAAGTAGAGATTGTAATAGTCATTTGACTTGCAGATACCTCACCCCGAACCCACCTACTATAATGTAAAAGCCAAGAATGCAAACCCTTTCCTCACCCCGTGAAGGTAAAGTCCTCAGAGCCAAGGAGAGAAGGCTCAGGGATGGTACCTAGGTGTTTCCAACACTAACCATGCATTGTAGTTTTTAGTGTTCAAGTTTAAGCTTCTTATGTTAAAGTTACCCCAGCTTTAATTATATTGTAACAAGATTTATTTTTGTAATTCCATTTTTGGATTCTTGATTTCTTGGTAAAGAAATACAGTTATTTTTGTATACCAATCTTATATAGTGTTACATTCCAAAATTTGTTCATGAGTCCTAACACTTTTTAGTAAATTTCTTATGATTTTCTAAATGCAAGATCATGTCATCTGTACATAAAGATAACTGTACTTCTTCCTTTCCAATCTAGATGCCGTTTATTTATTTACATTGCCAAGTTGTCCCAGCTACCACTGTTATCAAGTAAAAGGGTCTCACTACCCAAAGCTCTAGAAGCCAGTAACATGACACTAAGTTTTTGAGAAGAGAAAAACTTTAAAGTCAAACCAAAACCTATGGGATACAGGCCAGGCGCAGTGGCTCATGCCTGTAATCCCAGCACTTTGGGAGGCCGAGTTGGGTGGATCACAAGGTCAGGAGATCGAGACCATCCTGGCTAACACGGTGAAACCCCGTCTCTACTAAAAATACAAAAAACAAAAATTAGCTGGGCATGGTGGCGGGCACCTGTAGTCCCAGCTACTCGGCTGAGGCAGGAGAATGGCATGAACCCAGAAGGCAGAGCTTGTAGTAAGCCAAGATTGCACCACTGCACTCCAGCCTGGGCAACAGAGAGAGACTCCGTCTCCAAAAATAAACAAAAACAAAAAAACAAAAAACAAACCTATGGGATACAGTAAAAACAGTACTAAGGAGTAAGTTTATAGCAAAAAGCACCTACATCAAAAAAAGTAGAAAAACTTCAAATAAACAACCTAATAATGCATCTTAAATAGTTAGAAAAGCAAGAGCAAACCAAAACCAAAATTAGTAGAAGGAAACATAACAAAGATCAGAGCAGAAATAAATGAAATTGAAATTTAAAAATATAAAATATCAATGAAATGAAAAGTTAATATTTTTTTAAAAGACCAACAAAATCAACAAACATTTAGCCAGACTAAGAGAAAAGAGAGAAGACTCAAATACATAAAACCAGAGATTAAAAAGGAGACACTGCAACTGATACTGCAGAAATTCAAGTAATCATTAGAAACTATTATGACCAACTATATTCCAATAAATTGAAAAACCTGCAAGTCATGGCCAGGCACCGTGGCTCATGCCTGTAATCCCAACACTTTGGGAAGCCAAAGCAGGTGATCACCTGAGATCAGGAGTTCAAGACCAGCCTGGCCAACATGGTGAAACCCCATCTCTACTAAAAATACAAAAATTAGCCAGGCATGGTGGTGTGCACCTGTACTCCCAGCTACTCCAGAGGCTGAGGCAGGAGAATAGCGTGAACCTGGGAGGCAGAAGTTGCAGTGAGCTGAGATTGTACCAAGCTCCATCCTGGGTGACAGAGCAAGACTCCATCTCAAAAAAAAAAAAAAAAAAAAAAAAAAAAAAAAAACCACAACCAAACCACAAACCTAGAAGAACTGGATAAATGAGATTGAACCCATAATAAAACATCTCCTAGCAAAGAAAAACCTGGATCCAATGGCTTCACTGATTAATTTTACCAAACATTGAAGGAAGAATTACTATCAATCCTACTCAAACTATTCCAAAAAACAGAGAAGTCTGTAATATTTCCAAAATCATTCTATGTAAAAGACCATTCATCGTGTCTAAGTGGGATTCATCCCAAGGATGCCAACATGGTTCAACATATGCAAATCAATCAATGTGACACATCATATCAACAGAATGAAGGACAAAAAACATATGATAATTTCAATTGATGCTGAAAAGCATTTAATAAAATCCAATTTCCCTGTGATAAAAAGAAACCCCCCAAAAAACTAGATTTAGAAGGAACATACCACAACACAATAAAAACCATATGCAACAAACCCTCAGCCAGTATCATCCTGAACAGAGATAACCTGAAAGCCTTTCTTCTAAGATCTGGAACAAGGCAAGAATGTCCACTTCCAACAATGTTACTCAACATAGTACTGGAAGTCCTAGCTAGAGCAATCAAGAAAATTGAAAAACAGTAAAGGGCATCCAAATTGAAAGAAGTAAAATTATTATTGTTTTCTTGTTTGCAGGTGATTTGATCTTATATTTGGAAAAACCTAAGAACTCCACCAAAAAACTATCAGAACTGATCAACAAATTCAGTCACATGATACAAAATCAAAATGCAAAAATCAGTAACATTTCTAAGTGCCAAAACTGAACAATCTAAAGAAGAAAATCAAGGACGTAATCCCATTTACAATAGCTACAAATAAAATAAAATATCTAGGAATAAATGTAACAAAAGAAGTGAAAGATCTCTACGATGAAAACTATAGAACACCAATGCAAAAAAATTAAAGAAGACACCAAAAAAAAATGGAAAGATAGTCCATGTTCATTGATTGGAAGAGTAAATATTGTTAAAATACACATACTTCACAAAGCAATCTACAGACCCAATGCAATCCCTATTGAAATACTAATAACATTCTTCACAGAAACAGAAAAAAAATCCTAAAATTTATATGAAATCATAAAAGACCCAGAATACCCAAAGCCATCCGTAGCAAAAAGAACAAAACTGGAAGAATCACATCACCTGACGTTAAATTATACTACAGAGCAATTGTAAGCTAAACAGCATGGTACTGGCATAAAACAGACACATAGACCAATGGAACAGAATACAGAACCCAGAAATAAATCCTCACATTTACAACTAACTCATTTTCAATGAAGGTGCCAAGAATATACATGGGGGAGAGGACAGTCTCTTCACCAAATTGTGCTGGGAAAACTAGATATTCATTGGCAGAATTTTTTTTTTTTGAGATGGAGTCTAGCTCTGTTGCTCAGGCTGCAGTGCAGTGGCGCGATCTGGGCTCACTGCAAGCTCCACCTCCCGGGTTCACACCATTCTCCTCCTCAGCCTCCCAAGTAGCTGGGAGTACAAATGCCCCCACCACGCCCAGCTATTTTTTTTTTTTTTTGTATTTTTAGTAGAGACGGAGTTTCACCGTGTTAGCCAGGATGTTCTTGATATCCTGCCCTCATGATCTGCCCACCTCATCCTCCCAAAGTCATTGGCAGAATAATTAAACTAGAACCCTCTCTTGTGCTATATACAAAAATCAAATCCAAATGGGTTAAAGACTTAAATCAAGGACAAGAAACTACTGAAAGAAAACATTAGGGAAACTCTCCAGGAAATTGGTCTGGGCACAGATTTCTTGAGTAATACTCCAAAAGCTCAGGCAACCAAAGCAAAAATGAACAAATGGTATCACATGAAGTTCAAAAGTTTCTGCATAGTAAAGAAAACAATGGACAAAGTGAAAAGACAATCCACAGAATGGAAGAAAATATTTGCAAACTATATATCTGACAAGGGATTAATAACCAGAATATATAAGGAGTTCAAACAACTCTATAAGAAAAAAACTAATAATCCAATTATTTAAATGGGCAAAAAATCTGAACAGACATTTCTCAAAAGAAGGCATTCAGGTCAGGCGCAGTGGCTCACACCTGTAATTCCAGCATTTTGGGGAGCCAAGACAGTTGGACCACTTGAGCCCAGGAGTTCAAGACCAACCTGAAAAACATAGCAAATAATTTAAAAACCTACCTGGGCATGGTGATGCATGCCTGTGGTCCCAGCTACTCAGGAGGCTGAGGTGGGAGGATTGCTTGAACCCTGGTAGTCATAACTACAGTAAGCCATCATTATACCACTGCACTCCAGCCTGGGTGACAGAGTGAGACACTGTCTCAAAAAATGAGCAAAAACAAAAAAGAAGATATATAAATGTCAAATAGGTATATGAAAAGATGCTCAATATCACCGATCATCAGAGAAATTCAAATCAAAACTACAATAAGATATCATCTTACCCCCATTAAAATGGCTTTTATGCAAAAGACAGGCAATAACAAATGCTTGCAAGAATGTAGGGAAAAGAGAACCCTCTTACTCTGTTGGTGGGAATGTAAATTAGTACTTTCACTATGGAGAACAATATGGAGGTCCCTCAAAAAATTAAAAATAGAACTATCATATGATACAGCAATCCCACTGCTGGGTATATACCCAAGGGAGGGAAAATTAGTATATGAAAGAGATATCTGCATTCCCATATTTATTTCAGTACTATTCATAATAGCCAAGATTTGGAAGCAACCTAAGTGTGCATCAACAGATGAAGGGATAAAGAAAATGTAGTACATGTACACAATGGAGTACTCTTCAGCCATGAAAAACAATAAGATTCTGTCACTTGCAACAACGTGGATGGAACTAGGGAACATTATGTTAAGTACAATGAGCCAGGCACAGAAAGACTTTGCATGTTCTCACACATTTGTGGGAGCTAAAAATTAAAACAATTGAACTCATCAAGATGGAGAGTAGACTGAGAGTTTCCAGAGGCTGGGAAGAGTAGCGGTGTTACGGGATCTTTGGAGTGTCACTTTTCTGGACAGAAACCTCTATGGCTGGTGGCACCTTTACCTGAGTTTTGCTTGGGCCCCGCCCACTTAGCCTGGCAGGCTGTGCTCAGCTCATGCTACCAGGTTGGATCCCATGTTTGCCAAGGGAGACTGCGTGGAGTGGCAAGGGGTGTGTGAGCAAGCATGGGGTCTGGCCACTGTGCAGTCAGACTTCCTGGCTGCTGCAGTGGGGCAGGTAGCTCCAGGTGCCAACATGGGTGCCAGCTCTCCACAAGTCTGTGGCTGGACCATGGGCACCGCAAGCAGCTTCCACAGCTGGCACACTGGGAACACAGTGGCACCCGGAAGCTTGGAGATACCAGGAACCACAGGGCCCCAAATAGGGAATCACAGCCCTGGCTCGGGGAGCTCCCAGGTCTGGGCTTCCCAAAGGGTCACAGCTCTTGTTTCCTTCTCTTTGCCCACAATGTGGCAAGCAAGGGGGCATGACTCAGCCCTGTTTGTGTTACAGCTCTTTCAGCCTCTTCCCTAGGATTTGTCATAATTAATTCTCATATTGTCTTATTTTTTTACATTTGTTTCAACTTCAGAAGATGCATGGATCTAAACACAACATAATGTGTTAGCTAGCTGCCATATGAATTTCTCCGTGTTTCACCACTATGCAGCCTAAAGTTATTCCGTCATCCATGACTATCCTGGCTAAAGAGTCTAAAGATCTTTGTTTGGTAGCTATGGCTTCAGCTAGTTCATTCGCTAATTTACCTAGAGTGGTTGACAGATTTCTAATTATACGTTCATGAGAGGTTACTCCCCACCATTACAAGTGACTTCTGCCAAACATTGGCCAAAATTCACCTCCTTGGTTTGCAGGTATGGTTTGTCTAATCCTGGAAAGTAATTTCGATGAACTACTTCAGTGTTCAGAAACATTGGAGTTATAAATAGAAAGAGGAAGAGTCACATAACCTAATTGACAATTATTTCTCATATGCCAGCGGTCAACACATTCATAAGCCCATGGGTGGTTGATCCAGGGACCACACAGCGTTCCTGACAGACTCTGAAAGTTAAGGCTTTGGTTTACTGGTAACAGAGACAGGTTAAAGTACATGTCTTCAGTCTTGAGTAGAGTGTAATCAGTCTCATTTTTTTTTAAGTTTAAGTAGTCCTTCAAAAATACATCTCATTCCTGACAGGATAAAACAAGTTTTAAAAAATATATTATATTCAGATTCACTAGGGAACACTTGGAGCCAGGAAATAATTCAGGATTCAGCCCAAATTATAGGCAAATAATAAAAACTCTAAAACAATGATCAGGGTTGGAATCTAATAGCATATGTCATAGTTTTCTTTTGGAACATAAATTTTCTCTCTAGTCCATCATTTTATCAAAGACAAATCATAGTAGGACCAATTTTGTATGCAAAATAAGTTTTAGTCTTATCATACCGGGCCTGATTATTTCCATAAAGGGCAGCAAGAATATTTATTGGCCATATAGGCTTCTTAAAATTGGCTTTGTTGGAAATTTTTAATGAGGAATCTTAGACTTTTAAGAGCCTTGAAGCTAGCCAAGTCAAAGATTTGCATCAGACTGTGTCTGTAATAATTTTTTAACCTACTTTTTAAAATTATACTTTAAGTTCTGGGGTACATGTGCAGAACGTGCAGGTTTGTTACATAGGTATATATATTCTGCGGTGGTTTGCTGCACCCATCAACCCATCACCTATATTAGGCATTTCTCCTAATGCTATCCCTCTCCCTGCCCCCACCCCCTAACAGGCCCCAGTGTGTGATGTTCCCCTCCCTGTGTCCATGTGTTCTCATTGTTCAACTCCCACTTATGAGTGAGAACATGTGGTGTTTGGTTTTCTGTTCTTGTGTTAGTTTGCTGAGAATGATGGATTCCAGCTTCTTCCATGTCCCTGCAAAGGACATGAACTCATCGTTTTTTATGGCTGCATAGTATTCCATGGTGTATATGTGCCACATTTTCTTTATTCAATCTATCATTGATGGGCATTTGGGTTGGTTCCAAGTCTTTGTTATTGTGAACAGTCCTGCAATAAACATACATGTGCATGTGTCTTTATAGTAGAATGATTTATAATCCTTTGGGTATATACCCAGTAATGGGATTGCTGGGCCAAACGGTATTTCTAGCTCTAGATCCTTGAGGAATAGCCACACTGTCTTCCACAATGGTTGAACTAATTTACACTCCCACCAACAGTGTAAAAGCCTTCCTATTTCTCCACACTCTCTCCAGTATTTGTTGTTTCCTGACTCTTTAATTTTCACCATTCTAACTGGCATGAGATGTATCTCATTGTGGTTTTGATTTGCATTTCTCTAATGACTAGTGATGATGAGCTTTTTTATAAGTTTGTTGGTTGCATAATTGTCCTCTTTTGAGAAGTGTCTGTTCACATCCTTTGCCCGCTTTTCAATGGGGTTGTTTTATCTTGCAAATTTGTTTAAGTTCTTTGTAGATTCTGGATATTAGCCCTTTGTCAGATGGATAGACTGCAAAAATTTTCTCCCATTTTGTAGGTTGCCCGTTCACTCTGATAGTTTCTTTTGCTGTCCAGAAACTCTTTAGTTTAATTAGGTCCCATTTGTCAATTTTGGCTTTTGTTGCCTTTGTTTTTGGTGTTTTAGTCATGAAGTCTTTGCCCATGCCTATGTCCTGAATGGTATTGCCTAGGTTTTCCTCTACGGTTTTTATGGCTTTAGGTCTTATGTTTAAGTCTTTAACCCACCTTGAGTTAATTTTTGCATAAGGTGTAAGGAAGGGATCCAGTTTCAGCTTTCTGCCTATGGCTAGCCAGTTTTCCCAACACCATTTATTAAATAGGGAATCCTTTCCCCAGCGCTCGTTTTTCTCAGGTTTGTCAAAGATCAGATGGTTGTAGATGTGTGGTGTTATTTCTGAGGCCTCTGTTCTGTTCCTTTGATCTATATATCTGTTTTCGTACCAGTACCATGCTGTTTTGGTTACCATAGCTTGTAGTATAGTTTGAAGTCAGGTGGTATGATGCTTCCAGCTTTGTTCTTTTTGGTTAGGATTGTCTTGGCTATTCGGGCTCTTTTTTGATTCCATATGAAATTTAAAGTATATTTTTCCAATTCCGTGGAGAAAGTCAATGGCAGTTTAATGGGGATAGCAGTGAATCTATAAATTACTTTGGGCAGTAGGTCACTTTCACGATACTGATTCTTCTTATCTATGAGCATGGAATGATTTTCCATTTGTTTGTGTCCTCTCTTATTTCCTTGAGGAGTGGTTTGTAGTTCTCCTTGAAGAGGTCCTTCACATCCTTGTAAGTTGTATTCCTAGGTATTTCATTCTTTTTATAGCAATGGTGAATGGGAGTTCACTCACAGTTTGGCTCTCTGTTTGTCTGTTATTGCTGTATAGGAATGCTTGTGATTTTTGCACATTGATTTTGTATCCTGAAACTTTGCTGAAGTTGCTTATCAGATTAAGGAGATTTTGGGCTGAGATGATGGGGTTTTCTAAATATACAATCATGTCATCTGCAAAGAGAGGCCATTTGACTTTCTCTTTTCCTAATTGAATACCCTTTATTTCTTTCTCTTGCCTGATTGCCCTGGCCAGAACTTCCAATACTATGTTGAATAGGAGTAGTGAGAGAGGGTATCCTTGTCTTGTGCTGATTTTCAAAGGGAATGCTTCCAGTTTTTGCACATTCAGTATGTTACTGGCTGTGGGTTTGTCATAAATAGCACTTATTATTTTGAGATACGTTCCATCAATACCAGTTTATTGAGAGTTTTTAGCATGAAAGGTTGTTGAATTTTGTCAAAGGCCCTTTCTGCATCTATTGAGATAATCATGCAGTTTTTGTCATTGGTTCCCTTTATGTGATGGATTACATTTATTGATTTGCATATGTTGAACCACCCTTGCATCCCAGGGGTGAAGCCGACTTGATCATGGTGGACAAGCTTTTTGATGTGCTGCTGGATTCAGTTTTCCAGTATTTTATTCAGGATTTCTGCATCAATGTTCATCAGGGATATTGGTCTAAAGTTTTCTTTTTTTGTTGTGTCCCTGCGAGGTTTTGGTATCAAGGTGATGCTGACCTCATAAAATGAGTTAGGGAGGATTCTCTCTTTTTCTATTGTTTGGAATAGTTTCAGAAGGAATGGTACGAGCTCCTCTTTGTACCTCTCGTAGAATTCGGCTGTGAATCCATCTGGTCCTGGAATTTTTTTGGTTGGTAGGCTATAATTAATGCCTCAATTTCAGAACTTGTTATTGGTCTATTCAGGAATTTCACTTCTTCCTGGTTTAGTCTTGGTAGTATTCTCTGATGATAATATGCATTTCTGTGGGATCAGTGGTGATATCCCCTTAATCATGTTTTATTGCATCTATTTGATTCTTCTCTCTTTTCTTCTTTATTAGTCTGGCTAGTGGTCTGATTTGTTGATCTTTTCAAAAAATCAGCTCCTGGATTCATTGATTTTTTGAAGGGTTTTTCGTGTCTCTATCTCCTTCAATTCTGCTCTGATCTTATTTGTGTCTTGTCTTCTGCTAGCTTTTGAATTTGTTTGTTCTTGCTTCTCTAGTTCTTTTAATTTTCATGTTAAGGTGTCAATTTTAGATCTTTCCTGCTTTCTCTTGTGGACATTTAGTGCTATAAATTTCCCTCTACACACTGCTTTAAATGTGTCCCAGAGATTCTGGGACGTTGTGTCTTTGTTCTCATTGGTTTCGAAGAACATTTTTATTTCTGCCCTCAATTCTTTATTTACCCAGTAGTCATTCAGGATCAGGTTACCCAGTTTCCATGTAGTTGTGAGGTTTTGAGTGAGTTTCTTAATCCTGCATACTAATTTGAATGCATTGCGGTCTGAGAGACTGTTTGTTATGATTTCCATTCTTTTGCATTTCCTGAGGAGAGTTTTACTTCCAATTATGTGGTCAATTTTAGAATAAGTGCAATGTGGTGCTGAGAAGAAGGTATATTCTATTGATTTGGGGTGGAGAGTTCTGTAGATATCTTTTAGGTCCCCTTGGTCCAGAACTGAGTTCAAGTCCTGGATATTCTTGTTAATTTTCTGTCTCATTGATCTAATATTGACAGTGGAGTGTTAAAGTCTCCCACTATTATTGTGTGGGAGTCTAAGTCTCTTTGTAGGTCTTTAAGAACTTGCTTTATGAATCTGAGTGCTCCTGTATTGGGTGCATATATGTCTAGGATAGTTAGCTCTTCTTGTTGCATTGATCCCTTTACCATTATGTAGTGCCCTTCTTTGTCTCTTTTGATCTCTGTTGGCTTAAGATCTGTTTTATCAGAAACTAGGATTGCAACCCCCGCCTTTTGTTGCTTTCCACTTGCTTGGTAAATGTTCCTCCATCCCTTTATTTTGAGCCTATGTGTATGAGATGGGTCTCCTGAGTACAGCACGTTGATGGGTCTTGACTCTTTATCCAATTTGCCAGTCTGTGTCTTTCAATTGGGGGCATTTAGCTCATTTACATTTAAGGTTAATATTGTTATGTATGAATTTGATCCTGTCATTATGATACTAGCTGGTTATTTTGCTCATTAGTTGATGCAGATTTTTCATAGTGTCAATGGTCTGTATAATTTGTTATGTTTTTGCAGTGGCTGTTACCAGTTGTTCCTTTCCATGTTTAGTGCTTCCTTCAGGAGCTCTTGTAAGGCAGGCCTGGTGGTGACAATATCTCTCAGCATTTGCTTGTAAAGGATTTTATTTCTACTTCAATTATGAAGCTTAGTTTGCCTGGATATGAAATTCTGGCTTGAAAATTCTTTTCTTTAGGAATGTTGTATATTGGCCGCCACTCTCTTCTGGCTTGTAGGCTTTCTGCCAAGAGATCCACTGTTAGTCTGATGGGCTTCCCTTTGTGGGTAACTCAACCTTTCTCTCTGGATGCCCTTTATATTTTTTCCTTCATTTCAACCTTGGTGAATCTGATGATTTTTTGTCTTGGGGTTGCTCTTCTTGAGGAATATCTTAGTGGTGTTCTCTGTATTTCCTGAATTTGAATGTTGGCCTGTCTTGCTAGGTTGGGGAAGTTCTCCTGGATAATATCCTTGAGAGTGTTTTCCAACTTGGTTCCATTCTCTCTGTCACTTTCAGGTACACGAATCAAACATAGATTCAGTGTTTTAACATATTCCTCTATTTCTTGGAGGCTTTGTTCATTTCTTTCACTCTTTTTTCTCGAATCTTTTCTTCTTGCTTTATTTCATTGAGTTGATCTTCAATCTCTGATATTCTTTCTCCTGCTTGATTGATTCAGCTATTGATACTTGTGTATGCTTCATGAAGTTCTTGTGCTGGGTTTTTCAGCTCCATCAGTTCATTTATATTCTTCTCTAAACTGGTTATTCTAGTTAACAATTCATCCTACCTTTTTTTTTCAGGCTCTTAGCTTCCTTGCATTGGGTTAGAACACGCTCCTTTAGCTTGGAGGAGTTTGTTATTACCCGCCTTCTGAAGCCTACTTCTGTCAATCCATCAAACTCATTGTCTGTCCAGTTTTGTTCCCTTGCTGGTGGGGAGTTGTGATCTTCTGGAGGAGAAGAGGCATTCTGGCTTTTGGAGTTTTCGCCTTTTTGCACTGGTTTCTCCCCATCTTTGTGGATTTATCTACCTTTGGTCTTTGATGTTGGTGATGTTGATACTATTCCTTTATGTTTGTTAGTTTTCCTTCTACCAGTCAGGTCCCTCTGCTGCAGGTTTGCTCGAGTTTGCTGGAGGTCCACTCCAGACCCTGTTTGCCTGGGTATCACCAGTGGAGGCTCAGTTGGAAATGCATGAACCACCTGCCTTCTGTGTTGATCCCACTGGGTGCTGCAGACCGGAGCTGTTCCTATTCAGACATCTTGCCAGCTCTTCTGTAATACTTTTATGAATGGGTGTAGTCCTATCTTCTCAAGGTCCCCAAATAACTTGAGGTTCCTGGGCCCGTCAGAAAGTGACATTCTTTACTTCTTACCACAAGGACAGCAACTTTGTAAAGGACCCTTGTAGACAAGACACCAAGCCAGTCATTCTAAGGGGCTTTGCATTGGTGCTATAAAGTCAAGCTCAATTCCTTAAAGTGGTCTGGTTGTATCTGCTGTTCGAGTTAAAGCCTTGATAAAACAAACAGTGTCTCCAATTGAATCCTGTTACCAAAAATAGATTCTTATTGAAATTATGCAAATAATTATATTGCCATAATTTAGGAATGCTCACGAATGGCTTCTGAATTCTGGAGAAATCAGTTAGAGAGACAGATAAATGGCTCAAATTTTTGTTCACAATGTAGTTTTTCTAACGTAGGGTAAGTTAAAAATAGCTGAAAAGAAAAAAAATTCTTGACTTTGGAAAACAAAACATAAAGAGAATCAACAATGTTTCCAATGGAAGGGCCATGAATAAAATCTTTTCCTTCTTTTATAAGTTCAGTCCAATGTAACTAAATCTTGTTCTGCTTGATTTCAAATAGCAATTCTCATTCAGTTTTTTGTGTTTTGCTTGATTTCAATTGGAAATTCTCATTCAGCTTTTTAGAGTCCTGGAAGATTTTCCTAGTCCAATGGTATGATCCCCAAAGTTATCTGAAACCATATTTAAGAGAACTTGTCAGAGTCCTTTCCATTAAAAATAATTTAGATGATAGCTGATTGTAAAGGCTTTTTTATTTTTTTTGAGACATGGTCTGGTTCTATCACTCAGGATGGAGTGCAGTGGCATGATCTTGGCTCACCACAATTTCTCCCTCCCAAACTCAAGCCATCCTCCTACCTCAGCCTCCGAAGTAGTTGGGACCATAGGCATGCACCATCATGCTGGCTAATTTTTGTATTTTTGTAGAGACAGGGTTTTACCATGTTGCCCAGGATGCTTTCAAACTTCTGAGTTCAAGCAATTCACCCACCTCGGCCTTGCAAAGTGCTGGGATTTTTACACGTGTGAGCCACCGTGCCCTGCACCACGCCCAGCACCGTGCCCTGCACAGCCTCCAGCAGCACGCCCAGCCTGTAAAGGGTTTTAGAGAAGAACTTTAAACAATCACTGTGGATGACAAAAACTTAGAATATCCTTTGGTTAAAATCCAGTGGAAGTTCTTGACCTGCGAGAAAATTTAGTTATTTCTATTATATGTAGCATTTTAAGATAACAGCCAGAATCATGACTGACGGCAACACATCAGATCCATCAGACTTCCACAAATTTTATATAATCTTTAGAATATTTATATTAATAATATATCTATACATATACAACTTTAGAGAATATTTAACATCATCAAAATTATGACTGATACCATATTAGATTTTTATAATTTATATAACATTTAAAATATTTATATTAATAATATACCTATAAATGTAACCAAAAGAAGATTTAGGCCAGGCACAGTGGCTCATGTCTGTAATCCCAACACTTTGGGAGGCCAAGTTGGACAGATCATCAGAGGTCAGGAGTTTGACACCAGCCTGGCCAACATGGAGAAATCTTGTTTCTACTAAAAATACAAAATTAGCCGGGCGTGGTGGCATGTGTCTGTAGTCTCAGCTACTTGGGAGGTTGAGGCAGGAGAATCGCTTGAACCTTGGGGCAGAGGTTGCAATGGACCTAGATCACGCCACTGCACTCCAGCCTGGGTGACAAAGCAAGATTGTGTCTCAGAGAAAAAAAAAAGAAGATTTAGTGTTACTTATCTTTTGGCAATGCTTCCCATACAATGTTATCAAATAAGATTTAGCAAAGATGTCAAAAAATTGAAAACATTTGACCAAAACAGAATGACAGTTTATTGTTTTTTATTTTATTATTTTTTTGAGACAGGGTCTCACCCTGTTGCCCAGGCTGGAGTGCAGTGGTGAAATCATGGCTCACTGCAGCCTCAACCTCCCAGGCTCAGGTGATCCTCCACCTTAGTATCCCAAGTAGCCAGGACTATGAGCACTTGTTATGACACATAGCTAGCTTTTGTATTTTCAGTAGAGATGCGGTTTTGCCATTTTGCCCAGGCTGGACTTGAACTCCTGGGCTCAAGTGATCCACCCACCTTGGCCTCCCAAAGGGCCGGAATTACAGACAAGAGCCGCTGCACACAGCCACATGTCATTTTTAAATAACAGTCATTCATTTAATTAGCATGACAACCAAAAGACATCAAAAGCAACGTAGAAGGTTACATGGATGTGATAACTGAAAACCCTCAGTTTTCCCAAGTAATTAAAAAAAAAATAAAGGCAACACATGGATTATCTTGATAAAACCTAAAATCTTTATTACAGGCCAGTCATTTAAAGGGTAAAACTCCTGTGGCATAACTGTGTCTTCTTACAGGAAACTAATTTAAATCACTTGGAAGTCAATTCCGATGACAAGGAGACTTGAATTTAATTAGACATAGAAAGAGTGTGTCCAGGGTCATGAGTGAGCATAATATTACAAAGGAATGTAAACAGGAAAACCAGAGCATAGAGCAGTGGGGATCCATAGCTCACAATGATAGCAAGAAAGTTTCCTGGTTACATGAAGTAATTAAGACATATTTAAAAGCCAAGAGTATAAAATTAGACCTGATGAAAAAGCTGAAGGAGTTATCATCCCAGCCAAGCAGGAAACCCAAGCCTTTTATTCCTTCTCAAGAAGGAACAGGAGACAGTGATGTGATCTGTGAGTCATGTGTAACATGAAAGTACAGGAAAAGTTGAACTTCTGATATACAAATCTGAAAAGTTTTTATAGTAACAGATTTCAGGATTAAAAGTCAATATTTATTACCTCTTATTATGAGCAAATAAATACATTAAGAAAACCTTGTTGTTTTAACCAAAATTTTTAGTTTTTTATCGCTGTTTTTAATATTATAGCTAATTTAAATAAACTTTATAAACAATCTATCTGATCTCAATCAGTTTTGGCCTCGATGTAAGATTTACATAAACTTTTAATAACCTTCTATAATTTTTTCATCTTTCCCAACTTTTTATACACATGTAGTTTTATCTATCTTTTTTATTCCTTCAATTTAAAATAATCCTTAAAAATCTCTAAGCGAATTTACTTTCTCTGAAACAAAAACCGGTATACATTTTGCATACAGAATTGTTTCTCTTGTATCTAGTAGTCTTAATCACACATATCTAGCAAGATATTAACACTTAGTAACCCTTATTTTAATAAAAAACCTAGGAAGCAAGAAATCTGGAATTGTCATATAGCAGTATCTTACATATGAGAATAATTTCATAATTTAGAATTATGTGTTCCTAAAACATATTTTTTAAGATGGATTTTCGCTCTTGTTGCCCAGGCTGGAGTGCAATGGTGTGATCTCAGCTCACTGCAATCTCCGCCCCCCAGGTTCAAGTAATTCTCCTGCCTCAGCCTCCCGAGTAGCTGGGATTACAGGAACCCACCATCACACCTGGCTAATTTTTTGTATTTTTTAGTAGAGATGGGGTTTCACCATGTTGATCAGGCTGGTCTTGAGCTCCTGACCTCGGGTGAGCCACCCGCCTTGGCCTCCCAAAGTGCAGGGATTACAGGCGTGAGCCACAGTGCCTGGGCTAAAACATAAGTTTTAAATTGGAAATAACCCAGATATTTAATGAGTATCTATTATTTAATTTAACATAACTAAAATTTCAAAAATAGGCTGGGCATGGTGGCTCACACCTGTAATCCCAACACTTTAGGAGGCCTAGGCAGGAGTATCATGAAACCAGCCTGAGCAAAATAGTGAGAGGCTGACTCTACAAAAAAAAATAAAAGTTAGCTGACCATGGTGGTGTATGCCTGTAATTAACAGCTACATGGGAGGCTGAGGTGGGAGGATCCCTTGAGCGCAGAAGGTCAAGGTTGCAGTGAGCTGTGATCATGCCACTGCACTTCAGCATGGGTGACAGACAGAGACACTGTCTCAAAAAAATTTCAAAAATACATTAAGATATCTTGTATAGACATTTATCCATTTACATTTACTTATTTTTGACAGTTTATCTAGAGTATTTGTGAGAACTGAGGTATTAGACAAAGCTAGTCATCATTTCTAGGTTATTTTCTTGTTAACCATGTTATAGCCTGTGAATATCAGGTGTTCACGTAAGTGAGGACTTCAAAGTTAAATACATGGGTATTTTACCAATAACTCAGAAAATTCCATTATTTTTGTTCAACAAACCATATTAAATTGGTCTTATGTATTTAAAAAATCACATAAACAAATATTCTTTTTTCCTGTGTTTATAGCTTTATAACCTTCATGCCAAACCCTAGCACCTTAAAATATCTAGCAAATGTAAATATAAAACACAGTCAAAAATGTATGCTGACAAGTCTGAAGAGATTTCTATTTTCTATTTTTATTTTATCAATACTTTTTAAATTATTTGTATTTATAAAAGAACTCTTTTGTCTGGGCACAGTGGTTCATGCCTGTATCCCAGCACTTTGAGAGGCTGAGGCAAGAGGATCACTTGAGCTCAGGAGTTTGAGACCAGCCTGGGCAACATAGTGAGACCCAATCTCTACTAAGAATAAGATAAAAAATTGCCAGGCATGGTGGTGCATGCTTATTGTCCCAGCTACTAGAGAGGATGAGGCAGGAGGATTGCTTGAGCCTGGGAGGTTGAGATAACAGTGAGCTATGATCTCACTACTGCACTCCAGTCTGGGGAACAGAGTGAGACCTTAGAGTGAGAACTTGTCTCAAAAAGAGAAAAAAATAAAGAATTGTTTCATTCTTTTGTTTTTCTTCAGCCAAGTGACCTTGAATTAGTAACACCACAGACAGTAAGTCTTATCTCAACACCAGTAGACAAATCAGCAGATTCAAAGTAGGCAGGGAAAAAAAAAATAGATAGGCAAAAGAACTGAGACTTTTTCACTTTAGGGTTTTTAAAAATAGTAACTATTTGAGTTCTGAATTTTCTTTCATGTAATTTGGCCATCAGGTTTAAAGTGTGCACTAGAGGTCAGGTGCAGTGGCTCATGCGTGTAATCCCAACACTATCGGAGGCTGAGGCAGGTGGATCACTTGAGGCCAGGAGTTTGAGACCAGCCTGGCCAATGTGACAAAACCCCATCTCTACTGAATATACAAAAATTAACTGGGTGTGGTAGTGTCCACCTGTAGTCCCAGCTATTCAGGAGGCTGAGGCAGGATAATTGCTCAAACCTGGGAGGCGGAGGTTGCAGTGAGCCGCGATTGTACCACCATACTCCATCCTGGGCAACAGAGCAAGACTCTGTGTCAAAAAGAAAAAGGAAAAAAAAAGTATATATATATGTATAGGCTGGGCACAGTGGCTCATGCCTGTAATCCCAGCAGTTTGGGAGGCCAAGACGGGTGGATCACTTGAGATCAGGAGTTTGAGACCAGCCTGGCCAACATGGTGAAACTTCATCTCTACTAAAACCACAAAAATTAGCCGGGTATGGTGGCGCACACCTGTAATCGCAGCTACTCAGGAGGCTGAGACAGGAGAATTGCTCGAACCTGGGAAGTGGAGGTTGCAGTGAGCCAAGATCACACCACTGCACTCCAGCATGGGCAACAGAGCAAGACTCTGTCTCAAAAAAATGTGTGTGTGTGTGTGTGTGTGTGTGTGTGTGTGTGTGTATGTGTGTGGCTAGAATGGTCCATAATATATAGCCAGCTCGAGTCCCAGAAAACCTAGCAAGCTTAAGGTTAGAGCTTCTCATTTTGGCCTTTTCAAGATTAAATCTCCTTTAGTAGGCCCTTCCCCTCTAGGGAGGTACTTGCCGGAGTGCTGCCTGAAGTTGGTTTTCTGATGCCCTGTTGTTTCTGTTCTGAATGGTTTATTTCTCATTATAAGAGCTCAGCAAAGCAGGCAGAGTTAAAAAGCAGAGACATGAAGGCTTTAAAATCATGGACTTCACTCCTACACTGAATCTCAGGTCCCCAGAAAGACAGAAACACCATGGGACCACAGCAAAGGCAGAAGGAGGAGTGAGAGAGGGAGGTGGACAGAACAACAAACAGGAGTTGGCTCTCATTTTTTCACGCGTGCCATTTTCTTTAGGTTTTTCTAGTTTATGGAGTCTCTTTGTTCCAATTGAGCACACAGATAAACTAGAGATCTCACAAGGCTTTTGCTGAGAACATCAAAGCCTTTAACCTCTGTTGGGCCAAATATTTAGACCAAAAATACAGACAGACACACAAAAGCCAGAACCGGACCAGATTGAGTAGCTTAGTGGCTACAGCCTTTATTCCCTTTATTCTTTAGGATACGAACTCAAACCAGATTCAGGGTTCTAACCCAACCAGGACCCCCCTGGGGTGAAACTGAAACCCCACAGTCTAGACAAGGTTGGGGGTCTTTTTTTATTTTTTATTTTTTTGAGATGGAGTTTCACTCTTGTTGCCCAGGCTGGAGTGCAATGTTGCAATATTGCCTCACCGCAACCTCCGCCTCTCAGGTTTAAGCACTTATCCTGCCTCAGCCTCCCAAGCTGGGATTACAGGCTTGTGCCACCACGCCCAGCTCATTTTGCATTTTTAGTAGAGACGGGGTTTCTCCATGTTGGTCAGGCTGGTCTCGAACTCCCAACCTCGGGTGATCCGCACACGTAAGCCTCCCAAAGTGTTGACATTACAGGCATGAGCCACCGTGCCCGGCCTGCTTGTTCTTTTCATTTCATCCTGATCTCCGAATACAGGAGAGTAGCTGATTTGGTGTTCACTAACAAGCACAGAAGCTTTGTTACATTTACAGTGTCATTCTTGGCAAAACCTGAAGTTTTGCCTCCTGGATTCACGCCATTCTCCTGCCTCAGCCTCCTGAGTAGCTGGGACTATAGGCGCCCGCCACCTCACCCAGCTAATTTTTTGTATTTTTAGTAGAGACGGGGTTTTGCCGTGTTAGCCAGGATGGTCTCGATCTCCTGACCTTGTGATCCGCCCACCTCGGCCTTCCAGAGTGCTGGGATTACAGGCGTGAGCCACCGCGCCCAGCCAGAAGCTCTAATTTCAATGATGATTGTGCTTTTTCTCTCTTCCTCAGCATCTGGCTCATGATAAAATTTCAGGTGTCTTGATGGTATCTAAATCAGTTGTTGATTCAGTCCTGGAGAAACACAAGCATAACCTCTATGCCAAGTTATAATTTTACCTATTTCCCAACTTTTTGTTATTGGATCTCTCCACCAAACCAGTTGGTCTGCTTCTGTCTTTGCAGCTGGTTTCTGTAGATGCTGTTCAGCTGCTGGTAACATCTGGCCTTTGGGCAGGCTCAAAAATTTGAAAGTTAATAATGCAAGATTCAATTGTGTATGGGCTATCCCATAATCCCTGTTTCTCCCCCGTTTTTGTTTTTATTATCAGTTGTTCATCTGTATCAAATCTTAACTGAGCATTTTCAATTAACTGTGTGGAATGACCCATGTATGAAGAATCAGAAATCACATTAACAGGCATATCAAAAGCAGTCAACACCTCAATTACAGCTACAAGCTCCGCCTTTTGAGCTGAAGTATAGGGTGTCTGGAAAACTTTAGCTTTTGATCCAGAATAAGAACCTTTACCATTACTAGACCCATCTGTGAAACAATGAAAACGCTTAGCAGGCTGCAGGTTGTTTACTGCAGGAATTGTAAATGCAAACCGTTCACAGTCTTGCTCAGCTAAAAGGATAGTAAAGAAACAGTCTTTTAAATCTGTGATTATTAAAGGCCAATTTTTTGGAATTATAGTAGAGAAGGGAATCCTGGCTGTTATATTTCCATAGGTTGTATAACTGAATTGATGGCTCTTAAGTCAGTTAACATTCTCCATTTACCTGATTTTTTCTTAATTATGAAAACTGGAGAATTCCAAGGGGAAAATGTTGGAGTCATGTGCCCATTTTCTAATTGTTCAGTAACTAATTTCTCTAAAGCATCCAGTTTCCCTTTGCTTAGCAGCCATTATTCTATCCAAATTGGCTTATCTGTTAACCATTTTAAAGGTATAGGTTCTGGAGGCTTAACTATGGCCACCATCAAAAATGGTATCCTAATCTTTGGCAGGAACTTTGTCTTTCCGTTTGAAGCAGTTCTTTCAAACCTTGCAATTTTTTTTCTACTCCTATACCAGGGAAATGCCCCATTTTGTGCATCATATGTTGACTTTGAGGGCTGTATAATTGTTATGGAATTAGAACTTGTGCTCCCCATTGTCATAATAAATCTCTCCCCCATAAATTTATAGGTACAGAAGTTGCAATTGGTTGAACAGTCCCAGGTTGTCCATTGGGCCCTTCACAATGCAAAGTATAGCTACTCTGATACACTTCTGGAGCTTTAGCAGTTTCCACTGTGTTAAATTGAGTGGGCTGAATTGGCCACATGGACGGCCAGTGCTGTAGAGAAATAATTGAAATGTCCACTCCTACCAAAAAAAAAAAAATAGTATCTACCAAACCTTTAAAGTTCTTTCCCTGGATAGTTATTTCACAGATAGGATGTTTATCAGTAATTTGATTTACCCAATAAGCTGCCTTGCCTTTTTTATTTGTGCTTCCAAATCCTCCAGTTCATTTAATTTCACTTTTTCCCATTCCCACATACGGCTCACTCAGGAGCTGTGCTATGCGCACTCCTGGCTGTGCTTTCCAGGGAACAGAACTAAATATCACAATTTGAATTTCCTCATTGTAATCTGAATCAATGACTCCAGTGTGTATTTGTACCCCTTTTAAACTTAAACTAGACCTTCCTAAAAGTAATCCCATTGTCCCTCCTGGCAACGGTCCACAGACTCCTGTTGGGACCTTTTGCGGGGGTTCCCCAGGCAGAAGGCTCACAGCTTTTGTGCAGCATAGATCTACTGCAGCACTATGGGCTGTGGTGGGGAAAGATAACGTATGGGGGTGAGGGAATGGCCTGAGATGGAAATGCCCTGGTTTAGAACAGGGCCTGGGATGGGCCCCTCAGGGAGTTTTCCAAAATCGGGTTCCCTTCTTTATCAAACTTAGAGTGACACTGATTAGCCCAAAGTTTTCCTTTTTTACATTTTGGACATATTTCAGGATCAGCAGTTTTGTTTTTTCCCCTATCTGGTGGCCTGACTCGGTGATTTTTTTTTTTTACATTCTTTTTAGTATGACCATGCTTCCCACAGTTAAAACAAGCTCCAGGAAATAGAGTATTTCCTTTATCCACTCTCAGTCCTGCCATCGCCTGTGCCAACAAAGTAGCTTTATGTAGATTATCTCTGATATCATCACAGGCCTTGTTATAATCAACTAAATGTGCTTTCCCTCTGATAGGTCGCAGAGCAGCCTGGCAATAAGGATTAGCATTGTCAAAACCAATAACTGCAACACTATATCCTAAGCAGCCAAATCTGCAATCATCTTTTTAAGAGACTCCTGTAACCAAGCTATAAAATCCACATATGGTTCTCTTGGTCCCTGTTTTATAGCACTAAAGGAAGGGTATTGTTCTCCACATGAAGTGATTTATTCCAAGCTCTAATGCACACTTCTCTAAGCTGTTCTATGGCATCATCCTGCATGACCACTTGTGCATGTAAACCAGCCCAGCCACCAACCCCCAAAAGTTGGTCTGCAGTTATATTAATTTGAGGTTGGGCCCAGGCATTGCGAGCAGCCTGAATGGAAGCTTCATCTGCCTACTAAGTTTTAAATTGTAAGAACTGAGCAGGAGTTAGACAAGCTAGAGTAAAAGTGTCCCAGTCAGTAGGAATCATCCGACTGGAAACAGCAACATTCTTTAACAGTCCCATTTCAAAAGGAGAACCTGGTCCATACTGATTTATAGCTTGTTTAATTTTTTTGAGTAATTTAAAAGGAAAAGGCTCAAATGTAGCTATAATATTTCCCTGTTGATCTGGGGGGTGTATTCAAACAGGGAACTGCCAAGCCTCTAAATCCCACTTTTGTCTAGCTTGCTGTATTCCTGCCTGAATAGAACTAAGAGCAGTCGCTCAAGGCGCTGCTCGAACAGTCACCAGGGCAACTACTTTTCACCCAGTGTCCTCCAGAAAAGAAAGATCTGGAGGGTCGTTTTCTTCAAAATAGTAATGAGGGTGTGCAGAAGGATAGGGATGAACCTCTCCCTCCTTTTCTGCTTTAGCTTTAGGTGACAAATAAACCTGGTCTGTAACCTCTACTGTTACTTTGTTATACTCTCCTTCCTCCTCATCATCAGTGTGAAAAAGTTCCAAGGTAGAACGAACCACAGCCCACACTTGTCCTATTGCTACCCTGATGCTTCCGAGCTCCCCTTCTTACTCACCACGGGGATTGCTTTAAGAGTACTCGGGTGTCCTCCAGCTAGTTCCACATTCTCCAATCGTTGCTCCAGCGATCCTTTGACCTGTATTTGAGCCCCCATGAATGGGCACCACTTGCTGAGACCAGGTCGGTTGGAGAGACCCTAACCCAGCAGCACTAGAGGAATTAAAGACACACACACAGAAATATAGAGGTGTGAAGTGGGAAATCGGGGGGGGGGGGCGGGTCTTACAGCCTTCAGAGCAGAGCCCTGAACAGAGATTTACCCACGTATTTATTAACAGCAAGCCAGTCATTAGCATTGTTTCTATAGATATTAGATTAACTAAAAGTATCCCTTATTCTTAAGGCACAGATCACTCATGCTATTGTTTGTGGCTTAAGAATGCCTTTAAGTGGTTTTCCACCCTGGACGGGCCAGGTATTCCTTGTTCTCATTCCAGTAAACCCACAACCTTCCAGCCTGGGTGTTATGGCCATCATGAACATGTCACAGTGCTGCAGAGATTTTGTTTATGGCCAGTTTTGGGGCCAGTTTATGGCCAGATTTGGGGAGGCTTGTTCCCAACAGTTCCTCAGGGTAAGGGTGCCCTAACTCCTGTGGGGACCTTCTTTGGTGGCTCCCCAGGAAGTAAGGAGATGGGAATTGTGCTGTAGAGGTCTACAGCAGCACTGCTTGCTGAGGCGGGGGACAATTGCTGTACATATGTAAGGGCAGTGGCTGTGCTGGGTATGCCTCAGTTTGTTGAGGGGCTTGAGGCGGGTCCCTCTTCCTATTTCCTGAAAGAGGTTGTCCATCTTTGCTAAATTTAGAATGACACGGACTTGCCCAGTGATTGCCTTTCTTACACCAGGGACGTACGTTGGGACTTTTCTGTTGATTGATGGTAGTAGTTTTCGTCTTTTGAATTCCTTTCTACATTCCTTTCTTGTGTCCAATTTGCCCACAATTAAGTCAAGAGCCTGAGAAATGAAGCATATTTTTTCTTACTCTTAATCTAGCCACAGCCTGAGCTAAAAGAATAACCTTATGTAAGTTATCTCCAATGCCATCGCAAGCCTTAATATATTTAGTTAAATGGGCCCTCTCTGTCTGGGATCTAATAGCAGTTTGACACTCTGCATTAGCATTATTGTATGCAAGAAGCTGTATTACAACATCCTGAGCTGTTTTGATCATTTGAGGCTTTATACACAGCCTCTTGGAGCTGAGCAATAAAATTAATATATGGTTCTTTAGGTCCTTGTCAGACAGAACTGAAATAAGGATACTTTTCCCCGGTAACATTTATCCTTTTCTATGCATGTAAGCACATGAAGCACAGCTGAACAATGGCAACATCTTCCATTAGTGCTTGATTCTCTAATCAACCCCAGTTAGGGCCAACTCATATTAACTGATCAAAGAAAACAGGCACAGGTGGCTGCACTTGTGTGTTTTCTTTTGCCTGAGTTTGAGCTTCATCAGCCTACCAAGTTTTAAACTGCAAGTACTGAGATGGAGTGAGAACAGGTTTTGTCAAAGTATCCTAATTATATGGTAGTAATCTATTATCAAGAGCCATATTTTTAAATAAAGTTTGCACAAAAAGAGAGTTCAGTCCATATTGACTAATGGCTTGCTTAAATTCTTTAGTAACTTAAAAGAGAAAGCAGCCTAATTAGCTATATTCTGTCCTACTTGCTGGATTATAGTAACGGGAAATTGCCATGCTTCAAGGTCTCCCTTGGCTTTAGCTTTTTGAATAGAATTTTGTCTACCACCACCAATTGCTCCAGGTTTTAATGTTGTAACTACAGGAGCAGTAAGTTTTTCAGCTAATTGATTTTCTCACCCATTTAGAGGAGAGAGAGGAGGTGGCCATTCACTTAATTCAGCAGGTGGAGCCAACGGGCTAGTAAAACATACTTTTAAAAGTTTTTCTTTCTTTTCTTTAATCTCCTCTGGTAGCTGCTCCCCACACTCAGAATTTGAAGTTAGTTTTTTACACTCATCCTCCTCTTCCTCATCTGAGTCTGCCTCATCATCTGTTTGAAATGGCTCAAGGGCTGCCTTTATTAGTGCCCACACTGACCATACAGAAACTAGAATTTCTGCTCCATCTTTATATGCCTTTTAAAAAATCTCTTCCAATTCTCTCCCATTCATCCAACTTCATAGTCCTTTGTTCTGGAAACCATGGGCAAAACTGCTTTACTGTACTAAAGAGTGATAACAAATTCTAAGTACTAATTTTCATTCCCCATCTTTGTATGTCCTCGGGTGTCTTTTGATGTTGTGTCCTCTGCTTTCACATGCTCCAGCCTTCCTTCACCGGGTCTTTGTCACCCCATGTTGGGCGCCAGGAATGTTGGGGTGATCAGACCCAACACTAGGTCATGGGGGTGATGAAGTCCGGCAGAGTCAAAGGAATGAGAAAAAGACAGTTTGAGAGAGAAAGTGGGACCAGGAGACCATCACGAGTGTGGAGTCTGCAAAGTCCCCAAGCTCTGGGAGCCCACGCTATTTGTTGGTGCTCAAACAAACAGGTGGTGAGGATTTAGGGGTTGAAAGGAAACGGTGTATCAAGTGAATGAGAAACATATGGCCCTGCCTCAGCTTCTCTTCCAACACTCAGCTTTTCTCCCAACACATTCCCCTTATGAACAGGAATAAAATAGGGATGCCTGTTCTCACCACTCCTGTTTAACAAGTCCTAGCCAGAGAAATCAGGCAAGAGAAAGCTATAAAAGGCATCCAAATAGGAAATGAAGTCAAATTATCTCTCTTCACTGATGATATGATTCTACACCTAGAAATCCCTAAAGACTGTGCCAAAAGGCTCCTAGAACTGATAAAAAAAACTTCAGCAAACTTTGAGGATTAAAAAAAATCAACATATAGAAAGAAGTATCATTTCTGTACACCAAAAATGTTTAAACTGAGAGGTAAATCAAGAGTGCAATCCTGTTTACAACAGCAACCCCCAAAATAAAATAAAAGAAAAGAAGAATATGTCTAAGCAAGGAGGTAAAGGATATCTAAAAGGAGAAGTACGAAACACTGCAGAAAGAAATCATAGATGACAAAGCAAATGGAAAACTATTCCATGCTCATGGATTAGAAAGATCAATATTGTTAAAATGGCTATACTGCCAAAAGCAATCTACACATTCAACACTATTCCTATGAAACAACCAATGTCGTTTTTCACAGAATTAGAAAAAAAATATTCTAAATTTCATATGGATTTTTAAAGAGCCCAGACAACCAAAGGAAACCTAAGCAAGAAGAACAAAGCTGGAGACATCACATTACTTGACTTCATACTATACCCTAAGGCCACAATAGACAAAATAGCATGGTAGCGATATGAAAACAGACACAAAGACCAATGAAACAGAATAGAGAACCCGAAAATAAACATGCACCTACAGCCATCAGCTTTCCCAGGGTAACACAAAGAGAGCCAAGTGGCACCTGCACATTACGCTGTGGAAGAAAAACCCAAGCTCAAGAAACCTCAACTTGTATTATGGGAAGTTCACTTGGCTGTACCCTTCCCAAGAGGGAGAAATTATCTGCATTATACTAGACAGTAAATAAACTTTTCCTTTGTTCCAGAAGGAGGTACTGGTTTTCTATTCCAAGGCTGTTTTCTATACAAACATGCTTGAAAACTATCATTTGGAACAAGAAAGTCAGCGTCCATACTTGCAAAATGTGCGGAAATCAAAGAGACCCAAAAACTGTTTCTCTACCAATTTCTATTTTTTTAAAATCACATTTTCCCCATATAATAAGCTTTTAATATGTGATAATATTCTGAAATTGTCTTAGCATTTACCCCCATTTCTGAGTCCAGAAGGATACAATAAATTTAATTTAATTTAGTAACACTTCAAATAGTAGTGATTGTAATAGCAGAGCTAGTTTGTAGCATAAAGAAAAAATAATAATATTAGGTGACACAAATAATGCTAGCCACCATTTCTAAGTGTCATGGTAAGTACAGTGATTATTTTCTTTTTTTCTGACTCTTTTTTATTGTATTTTTTATTTTTTTTCCCATAGGTTATTGGGGTACGGTGGTATTTGGTTCGGGTCCATGAATAACTTCTTTACTGGTTATTTGTGAGATTTGGGTGCACCTATCACCCGAACAGTGTACACTGCACCTTATTTGTTATCTTTTATCCCTCGCCCCCCACCCTATTAAATAATAGACAAAAAATAATGGGTTTAGAATAAATGAGTTCAAATGAATTGTCAAACGTATGTGGGAAAAGTGGAATCAGTTTGTGAGAAAAAGGAAAAAAAACTCAACAGAAATGCTGATAAAGCATCATCCCTTCATGGCTAGAGCTGCCAGGACACTAGAACACCAAAATCAGCTAGGGAAATTTTGTAGAAGTCCCAGATGTACTAGATGTTCTGTGAATACACAGAGATATAATTATAACTGTTACCTGCATGTAGAGTAAAGATGAGAAGGCATTGGTCATGGTGGCAGCTACCTCAGGAGTTACAAAGCAGACGTGGTTCCAGGACAGTGTATGTCAGGGCAAAGCTGTCCTAGGAGGCTATTAGGAGTTGGTTATGACATAGACATTGTAAGTCAGATGGTCTCATTACTTTCAATGACAAAACCAAAATTACTTTTGTATCAGCCTAATACAACGGCCTGGCAAGAGCACAGAAAAAGTCCCTGTGCTGTTAGGTGGGGACCTCTGATACAGCACAATTCCTTCATTCCCTTCTCCAAAACCCCCCTCTTCCAATTCCACTGAAGAGAGAATCTGATGGAAGTGCTGTGTAAGTAGGCTCAGATATATCTACCACTATAGATAGTAGAGGTGATTCATAAATCCAAGCCTATCAAATACATCATAAAGTTACACGTTTAATTTTTTTTTGAAATTAGGGATCATGATATAAAAGTTATCAGAATCAAAACTGTCAGTAATCTTTAAAAAGAAAAGAAAAAACCTGGACAAATAGATTCAGAGAAGGCCTTGAAGAGAGGGTTCTCGTGCTTCTAGGCCTGATACAAACTGTCACAAAATACCACAAAATCCACAACCTTGCACAAAGGCCATAGCAACCTTACACAAAATACACTTCTGTGAGGACATCTATCCAGCAACCACCTGCTCAAACTTCAACTGACATCGACCTTGTTGTTGATCTTTATAGTCAAAGATAACTATAACAAAACAATTATAGAAGCCTCTTCATTTTTCCTTTATTTATTTTTTTCTACTCCCCCATAATTCCAGGTTGATCGCTTTTCTTTTAAAGACCTTGTCTTCCTTTACCATTTGAATCTACACAGTTTGCTTTGTCATGCATATTCCCATTGCAGTGTCCTCCTCCCTAAGATGTGTCTTTTTCCTTTAGAGAACCTTTCTCTGTTTGTTATTTAGGTTTACAATGAGAAGGCGTGTAAAGTAATTTTACTGTCTTCCTAGGAAAAAATCACTGACTTATATTTATATTTATTTATTTACATTCCTGGGGATGAGGAATTAAAGATTTCACAAATTTTCTTATTGAGAAGATCCAAGTTTTCATGTGAGCAAAACTGAATATGTAAATTGATATGTAAATTATGCTGCAGATAATATGCTCAAATGTTTACTTGTATTTAATTTGTTACACATGAATATTGCATATGTAAGATAATATACTAAGAAATTATCACATTTAATGAAATGCTTTAATCAAATTCCTGATTGAATTTTTGATATCAATATCTTTTTCCTTGTTTAATCCATCTTTAGAGTGAACAGGGCTGTCTAGGCCAAAGTCCTCACTTCTATCTAAATTGTCTGAGTTACAGAACTTTTTGAATTTATTATGTTGTCACAGGAAGTTTCTTATTGCTTGCTTAAAGGAGTCGCTCTCAATATGATGCGGAATCCAAAAGCACTGAAGGGCATATATCCTGAGTTTCTGTTACTGAAGCCAAAGGTTGCCAA
This sequence comes from Homo sapiens, assembly GCF_000001405.40. Classification (NCBI taxonomy): domain Eukaryota; kingdom Metazoa; phylum Chordata; class Mammalia; order Primates; family Hominidae; genus Homo; species Homo sapiens. The sequence continues at coordinate 127,309 of NT_113889.1, forward strand.
TTTCTTGTAGATCCTGCTAGAGTTAAACTTCATTTAAGTAATCATTAAAAGCTGCATTTATTCCCTCACTTGAACTTTTGATTTCACACTATTAGGACTAATCCTCTAAGTCTTTGCTAAGTTATGTTCCTCCTTTTCTTGTGGCTTGACTCTGATGCTCTCTATATGCAACATCAATTGATGTAAAGTACATTCAGGGCAATAGAGTTTCTTTAAATATTACTTTGTTATTCAAAATAATCACAAAAGCACTCATCGTAGGAAAACTTGTGAGGACTCAAATATAGGGAAATACTTTTTCTTTCTAAGGCACAATTCTCTAAAGAAGTTCACCTTAATTTGAATATACATGGGAAAATATCCTTGTTCACTAATAGTCTATATTCACTCTGTTTTCTTCCCTCATAGACCAGCCGGTTCACTATTATTTTCCAAATGATGTGTGCCTCTCTAGAGTCCAGGCTATCTGCATATCTAATTTTTCCCACAAATTACTGTTTTGAATTGCACTGAATTCAATTCAAGGGGATGTCATTTATAAACAGTGCAAATATATACTGCACGAGGGATCTTAGAACTCATACACATGGTTTGATCCATAAGCTCATATGAGCGTGCAATGTCAACTTTTTTCATGTTTTTTTTAAGTCCACTTAAATTCTATTTTAAGCCACCATCTGCCAGTGCTGTTAGGGCAGTTAGCCTTCAATCATTTTAAGATGGTCCCCTCTAAGTACCGTGATAGTGATAGAGATATCACCAGTCAGGTGTCCTAGGAAGCCGACTCCGAGTTGGAGATTTGCATGCAAGGAGGTTGAAATGATATTCCCAACACCTGTGGGAGAGTGAAAGCAATAGGATTGGGCGGAGCAGGAAGTCGGCTAGAATGCAATCACTATCATGGCTGCAGTCCACTCTACAGGGATCTTGGTGAGTTTACCTAATGACCTGGAATTGGAGCAAGAAAACAAGGCCATTATATTTCTGTACCAAGCAGTTCTCGGATGTGGGATGCCTTGAGAAGGGATATGAACTTGGATGAAGGAACTTTACTGTGCTGTGAGTATTGTTGCCAGGAGTCAGCTGTCAACACTCCCAGGAGACGGGAAATTATGCTTTAGTCACTGAGGCGGCATCTAGTGTCAGACCGCAGCCTTGTTAAACAGAGCCAGACTTTGGAGGATGGTTGGTGGGTTTAAAATTTGGGGCTTGACATCTTGTCCCCACAAGCTGCTGCTGGCCTCTTCCTTGTCCATTTCTGTGTGGCCTGTTTAGGCCCCCCAGCTTCCTGCTTCTTCTTTACCATAATTGGAATGCAAAAATCTACACGTAATTTGGCCCATGGTCCCTTCTGCTTAGACATATCCTTGTAGCTACTTTTTTTTTAAAAGATGACTATGCTTTCTAGAATATTTCTAAGAAATTGCCTAAGTCACCACTGTTCACCAAGAGGCCTTTGTTTTTTCCTCTTCTTAACCATGGGAAAGGAATGTAGGAGGGTAGGGAGTGGATATTTTCTAACCTGGAAAAAACTCATTTTACCCTATATAATTTTTTTTAGCAAATTCCTTCTTTGCACTTACTCCACAATCTTTCCAAATTCTCCCAAATGCTCAAGCTTTTAAAAAAGAAAAGACAGAAAGATAGCAGGTTATTAGGTTTTCCACCAAACCTTTTCTTTCTATTCCTTTACATCAGTGAGCTTAGAATATCTCTGCTCCTGGAACTGGGAAAGGGACTTGGGAAAAGAAAGAAAAAAAAAGCTCCCAAAGTTTAACATCACAAAACATTATAGTCACTGCTATTTTATTATTTATTTATTTATTTATTTACTTTTGAGCTGGAGTCTTGTTCTGCCACCAGGCTGGAGTGCAGTGGTGCGATCTCTGCTCACTGCAACCTCCGTGTCCTGGGTTCAAGTGATTCTCCTGCCTCAGCCTACTGAGTAGCTGGGACTACAGGTGTGTGCCACCACACCCAGCTAATTTTTGTATTTTTAGTAGAGATGGGGTTTCACCGTGTTAGCCAGGATGATCTCGATCTCCTGAATCTGTGATCCGCCCACCTTGGCCTCCCAAAGTGCTGGGATTACAGGCATGAGCCACCGTGAGTGACCCTGCTTTGTAAGTTTTACATCATATATCCCCTGTGTTAGACCAAGAGCTTGTAAAAGCCAGAAGACATACACTATTTATAGTTCAATTAGAGATGTTCACTGATAAAACTGATTCTTCCATCTGAGGGTGGTATTTGTAGTTACAGTAATGTAGATCACAATCTAAGTTATGTTCTATAAACTGTGTCACTGACATCTCAATCTACAGCTAACTTTGATTTTTTAAAAGCAGAGGAGTGGGTTGTATAGGTTTAGAAATACATCCATCAAGCTAGTTAAGTGAGATGGATTCAAGCCTTCAACTCACTGGAATATTTACCAAATTGACTATTCATTAGCTAAAGGAGCCATATAAACAAGGTACTTTTTAAAATTCAAAATTATGTAAGGTTTTATTTCCTTTTTATGTTGTTATGAATTGGATTGTAGAGGTTATAAGGTAAAATAAGATTACTTTTACAGTAAAACATACAACACATTGTCGCAAGAGGGCAGCCTTTGAACACGAATTGCTTCTCAGGCATTCCTTGAAATTTTGAGGGTTACTTTAATTAACACAACAAAATAATAAAACACTACAGAGGATCTAAGAAGATACTTTGACTTATGCATATTGTTACTTTTTTATTACTGCTAGTGGAAGATGTAATCGACAAGAAAGGTAAGGGCTGAATTTGTTTTATGTAAAAAGACAAATTTCTTTGGGTTTTAGCTTTCAAACATCAAGATAGTAGGTCAATGTCTAAATGAGTGTATCAAAGTTCTCACAATGGCACATGTAAATCCACCTCTTGTCTACCCAAAACTCTAACCAAGCAAAGGCAAGTTGGAAGAATCAGACAAATGTAAGTCCCTAGGATACATAAATGCCACGGGATTTTATGTTTTTAACTTTCAACCACCTAAGTTTCACTAAGAGACATGTTATTTGGAGAGGTTGCTAAAGTGTATTTGTATGATGTCTCTGTTTACGGTTGGTCTGGACCTCTTTCTGTCCAGTGGTTGCCCTCAACTGATGAGAGTTACCTCTCTAAAGATCATGCTTACGTCTCTGGAGCAGACCACAGCACTATCAATGTCTGACGTCCACCTTTTTCCAATTAATATTTCTGTACTTACTGAATTGGAAAACATACAGGTGTTTTTTGCCTGGTCACTTGTGGTTTTACAACACTCCCCCCACTTCCCCACCACTGCCCCAGGTGATTTTGATGCCAGCCAAAGTGTGAGAACTACTGGCAGCTGCTGGCAGACAGCAGCAAAGGCCCAAATCCTCTGTGTGATTTCAAGACCCGTATCTGGTTTTCAGCCATATTTCCTTCTCCTTCTCACAGCTGAGTCCACTCCTCCTCCCTCACCACCTGTAGGCTATGCTTTCCAGCCTGTGTCCAGGATTAGTCCTGATGTAAGGCACGTGGGGTTTAAGGAGCTCTCTCTTCAGTCTTATTTCCACACCATCTCTGACAGATATATTCCAGTTGTAATCATGGGGCTACCTCCTCTTGTTTCCAGTCCCATGCTCGTTTTCTCTATCACATTCTACCTTGTAATAACCTAAATCTTCTGGTGGGCAACCTTCTTCCTCAATCAAATTTGTGTTTATGATTGTGTTGGGGATTGGCATAGTAATCCAGGTACTGCTACTGCCTTGAAAGCGGAGAATGCATCCTTCTGTCTGGATATCTTGAGTTTCTGGATTGTAAACCTTATTAGGGCCCATTTTTCCTAGAATTGGAGCCTCTACTTTGTTCTTGCTACTTTAGTTCACCCAGAAAGCACGATCTCTGCCTAAATTTCAAAGTGTTGGCTAGTTTAAATATCCTTTTGTGAGACTTTTGTCTTCCTGCGGGGTGATTTTTTCATCTTACATATCATTGCTAATCTTTTTACCTTGAATGTAATTGAAATAGTTTTAATCTGTGTTACCAGCAACAAGAACCCCTTTTATGAGATGAAGAGGCCAGGTCAGTCTCATAACGTGTGTCCCCCTCCGTGTGTTGAATTTATGTCAGAGCCAGGTTCTTTCCTATTTGATGTCTCTCACAAAATTCCAGTGTTTATGTCCTAGGAGGTGCCCAATAAATTCTAGAGTTGATACAAGCTGTAATTTTAGAGAAATTAAATTAGCAAGTAGAATTAGATTATATACAACCTAATCAACTTTTTTTTTTTTCCTGAGGATGACCAAGATTTGGGCTTCAGTGACAATAGTTATCCCCTAAATATTTATACTCAATCTAGGATCACCAGTAAAATTTTGAATAGAGGTGATGAACACACACATCCTTTTCTTGTCCTAATCTATGTGGTTTAAACATTTACGCTTTCACAATTAAATATAATATTGTTTATATGTTTTGTTGTGGATGCTTTCCACCACTTCGAGAAAATTTCTTTTTCTAGCTTGCTGAGAGTTTTTTTTTTTTTTTAATCAGCAATAGATATTTCTCCAAAGAAAATATCCAAATTACCAACAGGTACATGAAATAAATGCTCAGCATCACTAATCATCAGGGAAATGCAAATCAAAACCACAAAGAGATATTGCCTCAAGCCTGTTAGAATGGTCTTATTAAAACAAAAAGATAACGAGTGTTAACAATGGGGAGAAATTGGAACACTTGTACAGTGTTTCTGGGAAAGTAAAACTGTGCAGCCTCTATGGAAAACAGTACAGTTGTTCCTCAAAAAAATTAAGAAAGTAGAACTACCATATGATCTAGCAATCTCACTTCAGGTTATTTATCTGAAAGAATTGAGATTGGGATGATTCTCAGGCTCATTGCAGCATTATTTACACTAATCAAAATGTGGAAATAAGGTTAATGTTTATTGGCAGATGAATAGATAAAGAAAATGTGGTATATTCATACAACGGAATATTATTCAGCTTTAAAACAAGAAAATCCGGCAATATGCAACATGGATGAACCTAGAGGACATTAATGCTACGTAAAGTAAATCAGTCACAGAAGGACAAACTGTATGATTCCACTTGTATAAAGTATCTAAGATAGCCAAATTAATTAGAATCACAGATTAGAATGGTGATAGCCCTTTAAGTTGAAATCAATTTTGCATTCCTGGGTTTTGTAGTTTTGCTATGAGGATTCTGACTCATAAAACAAGTTTGGAATTTCCCCCTTCTTCTGAAATAATTTAAAAATTTTATTTTTTTAAAACGTTTGAAAGAATTCACCAGTAAAACTCTTTGGATGTGGAGTTTGCTTATTTTTTAATTTCTTTAGTTTTATGTTTTTATGTGCAGGTATTTGACAATTTAATTACTTTAATAAATGTCAATTACTTCATATATTCCATTTAATCTTGTGAATTTTTTTATAAGTTTCTTTTCAAGGAATTCACCCTTTCATCCAAGTAATGAAAATTAGTATAAAATGTTTCACAATATTCCATTATCTTGTTAATGTCTCTTGTGTCTACAACTGTACAATCTTATTAATCCCTGATATTTATAATTTGCGTTTTCTTTCTTTCTCACAGAACTAACTTTTGGCCATGTTAATTTTCTCCTGTGTCTGTTTTCTGTCTCATTGATTTCTAATTTCTGTTTTATTTTCTTTCTTCTACTTGTTTTGGACTTAATTTGCTCTCTTGTTTTAGATTTTCTTTTTAAGGTAGAAAATTAGTGCACTTGTTTTGAACTTCTCTTTTTTAGAATAAGCATTTATACAAAAAATTTACTCTGGGTCTGCTTAACTTATCCCACATATTTTGATATAGTATATTTTTATTTGTATTCAGTTCAATGTATTTTAAGGTGTTTCTTATGATTTCTTTCTTGAGCTAAAGGGCATTTTAAGGTGTATTTAAATCTTCCAATAGTGTAGACTTTCCTGGGTAGCTTGTTTTCACCCATTTCAACTCATTTTCATTATGGTCAGAAAGTATACTTTCTATGATTACAGTGTTTTGAAACTTCTTGAGAGATATTTTGTGGTCTATAGCCTATTGATAAATGTTTCATGTGTAGCATAATAGAACATATATTCTATTTTCTTGGTCAATATTGATTAGGTCAGGGTGTTGTCAAAATTATTTTACCTTAACTTTCTTTAGTTATTCTATCAGCAATACAGCATTATGTCTTCATAATTACTTGACATTTTATCATTATGAAATAGCTTTCTGTTGTAATATTGCTTGTTTGGAGGTCTACTTTTTCTTAATATAGCCACATAAGATTTCTTGTGCTTGTTGTTTCCTTGGTATACTTGGAAATTATTTAACTCTCAACTTATCTATACCATAATATTTGGCATGCATCTCTTATAGGTACTTTTATTATATAGTTGGACAATCTGTGTTTTATTTGGAGTATTTAAATTACATTTGAAATAATTATTGATAAGGTTGGAGTTAAGCCTACTATTTTTGCTTTTTTTTTTTTTTTTTTTTTTTTTTTTTTTTTTTTGAGACGGAGTCTGGCCCTGTCGCCCAGGCTGGAGTGCAGTGGCGGGATCTCGCCTCACTGCAAGCTCTGCCTCCCGGATTCATGCCATTTTCCTGCCTCAGCATCCGGAGTAGCTGGGACTACAAGTGCCCACCACCATGCCCGGCTAATTTTTGCATTTTTAGTAGAGATGGGGTTTCACCGTGTTAGCCAGGATGGTCTCGATCTCCTGACCTCGTGATCCACTGGCCTCGGCCTCCCAAAGTGCTGGGATTACAGGCTGAGCCACCGCGCCCAGCCTATTTTGCTCTTATCTTCTATTTGTTCCATCATTTTTTGCTCCTCTGTTCTTTCTTTCATGCCTTTTTATATTAACTGAACAATATTCAGCGTTCCATTTTAATTCCTTTATTGGCATTTTAGAAGAATATCTTCATATAATGTGGTGGTTCTCTAGGGATTGTAATAAACATCCTGGGCTTATCGCAGTCCACTTACTGTTAATAGTCAACATTTTCATGTAACATAAAGAAAAGTTGTGGCAAAATTGTTGCGTTTAGTCTCCTGTCAGAGCTATTAATTTAGAATATTTTACTCTACATACATTATTAATAGTACTCTTAATTTTTTATTTAAACCATCAGTTGTTTGTTATAAAACTAAAAGAAAAAAGCCTTAGTTTTTCCTGTTTATGCACATGCCATTCCTAGAGCTTCTCCTTACTTCCTGTAGGTCAGAATTTCCATCTGTTGTTATCTTTCTTTAGTCTAAAAAATTTCCGTTTGCATTTCTTGTATCTAGGTCTGCTAATGACAATTGTTCGAAGCTTTCTTTTATCTGAATAAATCTTTATTTTCGCAAGAATTACTTTTTCTAGTTATAGAATTTGGAGTTGACAGTTTTTTTTTATTTTAAAGATGTAGTTTCATTGCTTTTTAAAGTGTCATTTCTGATGACAGGTAGATGACCTATTTGTTTCCACGTATGTAAATTATTTTCTCCCTCCCTTTAGCTACTTTCAAGATTTACTCTTTTTTTTTGCCCAGTGGTTTGACTATGGTATGTCTACATTTGGTTCTGTATATTTTTATTCTGTTCTTTGAGTTTCTTAAACCTGTAAGTTGATATATGCTGACAATTAGGAAAACTTTTGGTCTTTACTTTTTCAAATAGCTTTTTCTGTCTCATTTTCTTCTCTACTCTTTCTAGGAGTCCAATTATATTAGTGCTAGACTGGTCATATTTTTATTATTTTTCTCCTTTGTATTAGCTGTATTGGGAAATTGTTCTTGATCTGTTTTTAAGTGCACTGATAGTTTTTTCTGCCATCTTTAATTTACTGGTATGTGCATAAAATGACACTTTTATATAAGACACTCTGTCTCTCAGTTCTAAAATTTGTCCTATTATCTCTTTATCATTTTTACTTCTCTGTTGAGATTCTCCATATATTCCCTCTTATGACCATCTATTCCTTAAATCCTTGAATATGCTTATAATAGCTTATTTTAAATTTCTTATCTTCTAATTCCAGCATGTGGGCCATTTCAATGTCTTAATCCATTGTTTACTTTTTTTGTTATGTGTCATATTTTCCTGGTTCTATGTCTAGGCAGGTTAAATTATATGTTAGATTATGTGTATGATATTTTGTAGAGATAGGCTCTTTTATTTTCCTTTGAAGAGTGACTCTTTTCTAACATTAGTCTTTTTTCTGTAGTCAAACACCAAACTTTCACTCCTGAGCTATATGCAATGGTTGAAATCTCTGCTCTGTACTAGCAATTTAGCTGTTGTTTTCTGCTAGATTCTATGGAGTCTCTTTTTATGAATGTGAAATGTAGCAGCCATCATATATCTGAATGAAGTTTAAGTGCTGATTTTAGATTTTTACTCTGTGACATTCTCCTCTGTGACTTTCAGTTGTGTGAGATGTCCTCCCATGTCATTCAAATTTCCCAGTTCTTCTTTTCTGTCAGCCTGGAACTCTGTACTCTTATTCCTCAAGCTAGTAAAACTCACCGCTTTACTCTTAGACATCTAATTTTGCACAGACTGGGAAGTGTCATCAGGTGTGAAGTTACATTGATGCAAATTTAAATCATTGCAATTTTCTTTATTCAATGGTCAAATACTTCATCAGTGGTTGAATATTCTACTATTTCTGCCTGTTTTCTGTTTCTCATTACCATCAAATGTGTATTTAATTTTTTTTAGAGTTAATAGTTTTTTCCCTGCATTTGAGTTAGACCTGAGCTACTACCACATTTTGTAATTCAAACTTTTTGTCTAACAATGTTTTAAAAAACTCTTTATTTGGAGGGAATTCTCAAATTTCTAAATACTCTACAAACATTAGGATCAGGGCTCACATTCCCAGTTTCCCTTGTAGCCAGATGTGCATATGGAACATGGCCTCAGCTAATGAAGCATACCCACATATTTGAAAGTAAGAAAAGTGTTAAGAGGAACTGTAGATATCATTTTAGTTGATGTAAGGATGGAAAATAAATAACCAACTTTCACTGGTGGACTTTGTCTTCAATCATTGTTTTCCCGTGGGTAAGTGGCTAATTTTCTGGCCTAGAGGTGAAATTGGTGTGTTGGTAAGAATTGATTTAATGATAACCTGCTTTTGTCTTTTTAAAAATTGTTAATCCACCATTGTTTCTGGTCCTGTTTTATACTTATGCAGTGTATAATCTCTCATGCAAAATTTAGTTCTTTGTTTCTCAGCTTAAACTGGATTTTGATGAGCAGTTTTCACCTTCAAATGAAAGAAATGGCCTTGGTTGATGTTAGACAAAAGTAACAAGAAGGAATTAAAGAAATTTGTTTGTCATCTTGTAACATTAAATAAATGAAACTGAAAATTCAACAATTCTGCTTCATAAAAAAGTAGAAAGTTTCTACTGTTTTTCATTATTTTCAAAGCTATATCATTAAATGAAATTTCTGCCTCATGGAAGGTTTTTAGAACTATGTAATAATACCATACAGACCATTAGGAGAGAAATGAATAAAGACTGAAAGAAGTAAGCACTGTGTGGTAACATAGATGGTGCACAGTTGTGTGCGTGGAGCCCTAATACATTTGACCATGGAATTTATACAATAAATGTCAGTTTCCTGTGAACCTGATAATTTATATGACTTTCGCAGACCTTTCCTTAACCTAAACTGTTTAGGTTTCCTGTCGACAGACTGCATGTATTCTCACCTTTAACCTTTCCATAATCTTCCCTAATTACAGATGTCATTGATTCTTAATAGCAAAAGAACAGCAGTAGCTTATAAAGTTATATTATTTGTTTTTTACTAATATGTGAAGTGATTTTGTCTTTCATTTCACCTCTAGAGCTAATTATGTCTTCTAGGTTAACAAAAATTCCAGATCATACCATCATTAGTTTAAACTTTACAATGAAATCATTATTTCCATTTATTACTAGCCTGCATTATAGCAATGTTTAGCTAATGAATTCTCAAAATATTTCTTGAAAGGTGAAAGAGTACCTCAAGTAAATGGTGTAATTAATTTATTTATCAGAATTTTAAATTAAGTGTTCTGTTTAATCTCAAAGGGGTACCAATGAAGTCAGGGCATAAGGACTCTGTGGTTAATAAAATGGCAAGAATTAAAAAGGATTATTACATTTTTCCTCATACTATGATGGCTATAATTTTTTAAAACAGTAGAAATGTTTAATTTTTAAAGGCTACTAGTGTCTATTTCATTCAAAGATGTGAACTCTTCAGTTCAACTTGTTGTTTGAAATTTGAACAGCTTTTTCTTGCTCTTGTTCAATACAGTTATTTAACAGTCCAGGCAGGCCTCCGGAGTTACATATATGTATGTGGCTATGTGTGTATATATACATAGAAGTACAAATAGCATATAAACAATTTACATAAGACTTTTGCTTTTGATGAAAATTCTTCTAAAAGTGAATATAAATTAATAGCATATGGAGCCTACAAAAATTGTCCAATAGGGAACTAGGAAAAGATAATTTGTGAAGAAAAAGTTTGCTAAAACAGACTTTTTATTTTTACATGTAATAACTTTATATTGAAGGGTTTCCAGAAATATAAAATATTATAGGGCACTTATCCTGAGACACATGAAGGAGACAAGGGATAGAGCTAGGATGGAAGTGAAAATAAAGGACAAATAGAGATAGATACTTAAGTGGAAATGAAACACTGCATGTTCTCACTCATAGGTGGGAATTGAACAATGAGAACACATGCACACAGGAAGGGGAACATCACACACCAGGGCCTGTTGTGGGGTGGGGAGAGGGGGTAGGGATAGCATTAGGAGATATACCTAATGCTAAATGACGAGTTAATGGGTGCAGCACACCAACATGGCACATGTATACATATGTAATTAAACTGCACGTTGTGCACATGTGCCCTAAAACTTAAAGTATAAAAAAAAAATCATCAAACAGGTGGTAATTTCAAAACATGGCTTTTCCAGGCAGCAAATTTTCTGAATGTATCGCAAAAGAAGATAAATTGCATGTCTATGTAGATCATGTCAATGAAATAAACAACAAAGTTACTTATTGGAATATTGAAAGTGGTTGATAGTAAATAAATTATTTATATTTATGGTAAAAGCAATAAACTTGATTTTTAGGGGGTTCAATGACTTCCTGAAAATATCCTCTCACAGATTTTCTCAGAGTGTCTAGTTGGCAAAAGCACAGCTCCAAATAGCTATTTCTGTCAACGTCTACAGAACATTTACAGTTTGATTTCCATTTCTACTGACCTTACAAATTTGTAAAGTGAATGCCCACCAGGACAAAATATTAAGTGATAAAATTAATTGGATCCTACAAGTGCAAATCTAGGCAAGGAAAATCTTCTTCCTTCTTAATGAATGATTTTTATGTCTCTTCATTCTTGTCCTTCTAGGTAGAGCAACACTCTGGAGACCTTCTTTCGAGGCATTTCACCACCAGAGTAAGTGTGATGTGTGAGTAATTAGTCCACCCACAGGGAGCTGGTGAAATTAAATGGGAAGTTATTTCCTAACTGGCATATCTTGGAGTAAAATTAATCTAATAACAGCTTTCATAAGAGAGCATAAGCTTAAAAGACAACATTTTTCATTCAACTTTACCAAACAAAGTGCAAATTTAGGTGTCCAGTTGTGAAGTTTTGTTGTGTGTGGATTGTACAGTGAAGGTACCAGTGGACAACAGTTGCTCATCAAGCAAGTTTATACAAAAGCTTTCGGACAAGTCCAACTCTAGATAAAATTCTAAAGTATTTCATGCTTGTGTTCAGAGTTTCTTTTTCTCTATCCAAGGTAACCCACATATCAAAAGACATATGGGTTGTGGGTAGAACTTCCTAAAATTGTTGGTGAGAAGTGTGCCATGCATAAGCATACTTCACTAGCTTGAATTTTCTGTTAGTCTCACAGGCAACAATTACAATCCTGTATGTTTTTCTATCTCCACACACTCCTGAACATAGAAAGACCAAGTAACATCCCTGGTTAAGATGTGTACAGGTTACAAGACATGTCTAAATATATTCACCAAGAGGTTTATTATTTTCACAGTGGCATTCACTAAATCAGTTGTCAGTGTAGCATTACTCAAGGAATAAGCAGGGTCTTTAATTTATCAAAGTTTGGAGTGCACCCCAAGTTGGATCACTGAAGCACATAACTATAGATAAGATCACTCAAAAGCACAAATCCAGGTAATAAATATTCAGTAGTAGTTTATATGCATTTAGCAATTTGAATGCTGGGAAGTGTAGCCCAGAAAATCAATCGACTTGGAGCTATTAAAGAGGCATTCATGGCACCTGCACTTTGAATCTCTTCAGACTCAGGTTAAACAGGAGACATGGTAGCTCATGTATAGTGCAAAAACCCTTCATCTTTCCCTTTTTATCTATGAAACTACCCTTTTCAATGTTATCTAGATGCCTGAAGGTATGAATAACCTTGATCTTGGTAAAAAATGGTACCATCCATCAGCAAAATCTCACTGATCAGTGTCTATGTTACCTCACTGAGTTAGCCTTTTGTGTTGTTGTGGTCCAGAATGACAATGTTGACACAATCCAAACCAGTAGTTGGAAAGTTAATGTTGGATGCGTCTTTGATAATTGATGGAATGACCTGAAATCAAATGTGAGGCAGTGGAGACACAAGAATGCTATTCAGGAAGTTAGTGATCTGTGGAGATACTAAATGAAATATCTGGAAGGAAATGTAATCTTGCAACTATGCTTTTATGTGTTTTTTGACATAAAAAGTTTCTATTTATGGTGGAGCTAGAGTGTCCATTTCCCATGAAGTTCCCATAGTGTTAACTAATACAGTCATGTGTCACTTAATGACAGCGGTGTGTCTGAGAAATGCATTGCTGGACAATTTTATTATTGTATGAACATCACAGAGTTTACTTACACAAACCTAGATGCTATAGCTGATTACATATCTAGGTTAGGTGGTATAGCCTATTCCTCCTAGGCTACAAACCTGTGCAGCATGTTACTGTACTGAATACTGTAGGCAATTGTAACACAACAGTTAAGTATATCTATACTTACTTATATCTATACAGTAAGTGTATCTATACATGTCTAAACATACAAGAGGTACAGTAAAAGTACAGCGTTATGATTTTATTGCACCACTGTCATACATGTGCACTATCCTTGACCAAAATGTTGTTATGTGATGCATGATTGTAACAAAAGAATTAATTAAATATAATATTGAAGTGCCTATTGAGATTTCAATGAAGAGAGGAATATTTGTAAATTCTGATTACCTTAAGTGGGAATTGACTTTCTTCCTGTTTCCATGGCTGTTCTTGTGAAAGAACATAGCTTTCCAAAGACCTGAAATCTCTGACAAATCTTGCAATTCTCTATTGCCTGCATTATGAAGGTCACCTGGTATCAAATGAGGCAAAATGGTAGATTATAAAGACCTGTACTTGTCAGTTCCTAAACATAGCAAGCCTTGGTCTATCTTGAACATTTCTGCAGTTATAAATGAGCCTTGGGTCATGATTTTCTGCCTTTTTATCATAGACAAGATTTAATTTAGGAGATGTCCTTTTAATGTGTAATGTGAATAGTAAGTGACACTTATGAAGCCTATTTTCTTCCAGCCATTTTAATTGTCAAATCTGTCCAGTCAAGATGCATTGTTAGAGGCTTCACTGACAACACCGTCTGTGTGTGTGGTTGTGTGTGTGTGTATACATACATATGATTGAGCAGGATTTATTGTAAGTCAAAACAGTCTCAAATTTCTTAGGACAATACAGCTTCCTTGGCCATTCCCTTGGAGCTCTGAGTTGAGGAGCTGGTGATGTGTATTTCTCTTGCATGTTCTCCACATTATCCCTATGCAGACCTTCCATGGGCTTGGTTTTGGAACCAGTGATGAGGAAGATCACTAGAATTGTTGTTGTCAAAAAGATTCCTCCATTCTTCTGTATAAGCAATGGCAATTTTCCCTGACCAATATTTCTTCTTTTGAAATGGTAAATTTTGAATATTAACTGATTAGTATAATCCCATAAAATAACAAAGTTTGAGCCCTATGATCTGTATTTTAGGCTAAAGTTGTGTTTTATGCTAAATCATCATTTACTCCATGTATGATCTTTTTTTTTTTTTTTTTTTTTGAGACAGAGTCTCACACTGTCACTCAGGCTGGAGTGCAGTGGCACAATTTTGGCTTACTGCAAGCTCCGCCTCCCAGGTGCACACCATCCTCCTGCTTCAGCCTCCTGAGTAGCTGGGACTACAGGTGCCCACCACCACACCCAGCTAATTGTTTTTTAAGATTAAGGGCGAAATAAAAGCTGCTCCCCTATATTACATTCATAAATCAGAATTATTAAAGCAAGCTATTTATTTATTACAAACACATACTCCAAATTTAGCATCTAAGACATGACAGCCTTTCAAGAGACATCAATTTACTTTTTAGGGTCTATAGCTATATTTGTATTCATGTTATTGGTGTCCATAATATTTCATTAGATGTTCTGGGTAAATTGATAAATGAAAATAATGTATGTGATAAGGAGAACAACCTAGGTCTCCTGGAGGGCCCCTTACAACTCAGCTGGTGTTAGCAGAAATGCCTGGGTGTAACAGTGAGAAACAACCTTTCAAAAGTATTGAGCAATTTTTCAGGCAGAGGAATATGTATGCCAATCCAGGCAGCAAGATAAGTGGAGGTCAGTTAAAAGATCAGTGTGTGATTACATTTTTTTTTTAAGGTTTCTACTGAGAGGAAATATAACACTCAGTTATTATTTTCTCCGCATATCTCTGGTTATTTTGTCACAACTTTTTATGTAAGCTACTACCAAACACTGGGTTATCCAAGATCTATGGGTCGTATTCAATATTTGCTTTTCCCTCAACTACTAACACGTTTGATTCCCTTTGTAACTTTCTCCCCTATTTCTCCTTTCAACCTGTTTTCTCCAACCACACTGAGTTAATAAGCCTCCTATATACTCTCATACCCTGTTTTATCTAAAGAGATTTCCTTTTTCTACTATTATACCCATCTCATTCCTTAATTTATTTCTTCTTATTTCTCTCTCTATTTTTTACTCTTTTAGGCACAGCTCATGTCTCATGACTTTCAAAAAGTTTTTCTTCTGATATTCCCAGCTCGAATTAGGTACATCCTGATCAGTTTCCTTAGACTTACAAGTCTGCATATTATTGGCTTGCAATCTGTCTTAGGCTGGGAATTAGCTCCTTGTAGGCAGGGACTAGAATTTATTTCCTCTTATGTCCATAATGCCTGACACAGGAACTATTCTCACATACAAATTGTAGGGCCATAATTCCTGAGAACATATGTATATTTTAGTGACTCATAAAGGCTTGAAATACATTTTTAAAATGATTAATTGGGAAGTCCAT
The DNA here is from genome assembly GCF_000001405.40 of Homo sapiens. Lineage (NCBI taxonomy): Eukaryota > Metazoa > Chordata > Mammalia > Primates > Hominidae > Homo > Homo sapiens. The sequence goes on from NT_113889.1 coordinate 142,785, forward strand.
GAACTTGACATCTTGATGTAGAAGAAAAGCAAGGGCAGATGAAGAAGTTATACAGGATACTTGAAATACCAGAAGAATATAATCAGAGAGCAATAAATTAATCCTAGATTTTTAGATGTGAAGAAGTTCTGAGAAATATTTGAAGACTTGGCTCTAGGGATGAGTACATAACAGAGGCCAGTAGCCAGACTCAGAGCTTTAAAGAGTGAAGAAATTGCATTGCAGGGGGAAGGACTGTTGTATACTAAATAGAAATTGTCATTAAATGGAAGACTAAGCAAGAGGCTGATGATCTGTGGATGAGAGACCAAAATGGTGTGGAGATAGAGGTTAATGCCATAATCTACAAAGAAGATATTTTTGTGCCAGAAAGAAATAATAGGTCTAGAATGTAATAAAAGATAAATAGTTAACTACATTGTAATGTGGTCTGAGAACTCACTGAAGGCATAGCCATTGATATTAACTTCCACTTTGCTTCCAGACAAAATATTTTAAATATCTTAAAAATTACATTTGATATTGTATGATTCATCAAGACAGAAAGTAAAGCTGTAGTTGCCCTGGGGGGGTGGGGAATGGGGAGTCACTTTTAATGGGTACAGTATTTCAATTTTACAAGACAAAAAGAATTATGGAGATGGGTGGTGGTGATGCTTGCACAACATTGTGAATACATTTAGTGACACCGAATTGTATACTTAACAATGGTTAAGATGCAAATTGTTGAGTGTGTTTTGCCACAATTAAAAAACAGAAAACAATAGTATTTGAAGATATAGCCCATTTCATCTGGTAGCTAGCTGTATGTGTCTGCTCAGCTGTGGATAGATATTTATGCTGTTTCTGAACTGGAGGTTACTGGTATTCTCTAAGGTATAGGAAAATTGATCTTATGTGGCTAACTGAGGTGGATATAGTTGTATCAGTCAGACAGTAATGATATAATCATGATAGTTTACATTTAACACAACTTACATGTGTTATACTTTAGAAAGCACTTCATAGATATTATTACTTCATACCATTTTCCCCTTACCATATTTGTCTCTCCTTTCTCTGCTGACTTCACAAAATGTCTGTTCCACACTACTCAGTTCATCTCCTTATTTTGTCAAAATTTTAAGTATCAGAGTCTCCAAAAAAAAATTCCAGAAAAGTCTCATCAGCTTTCGGTCATTGATTAATCGATGCTCTTAGAGGGTTTCCCTTCCCCTTCTCAATTTAACATAGCTTCCCAATTCACTTGCCAGTAAAACAAAGTGGTTTATATGGTTTTGTATTTCTTCCTGCTGAATTATGAACATTTTTTCATATTGACATTGATTTCCATCTGGCCATGAAATACTCAAGGTGAAGACAATGAAACAAAATTGTTAATATTTATCAAGAGCCAGGTACTGTTTTCAGTGTCCTAGAAGCATAAACTAGTGTAATGCTCACCAGCTCATATGAGAGGCAAAAATGGATGAAACTATAAAACCAAGACACAGAGAGTTAAGGGAAATTTCCCAAGATCACACAGCCACTGAGGATATGAACTAGATTTTGACTTCAGGCTGTTTACCCCAGAACCTGTGCTTTCAACCGTCATTTGTACTGCTTCCCTAAATTACACTTGAGTACACTGTGACATCAAATTTCACCTATGACACTGATTATCTGGGGAACTTTGCAACTTATTCTGAATATGACTCAGTTTTCTTTTCTGTACAGAGGTAAAGTCAGTATATACTCCATAGATTTGTTATAAGGATTATATGACACAAGAGAAGGCTTTAAAAGGACTTGGAAAGCAATAAGCTTTTTTGTTTTCAATCATTTTTCAATAGGTTATCAGTGTTGTGAATGGTTCATGAAAAATGACTTTGGGCTCAGTGAGTAACTGAAATGTTGTTGTTTAATAGTGTGTTTAATATTAATATAATAGTAACAAATGTTGTTATTGTTGAGTAATAGTTATTTGGCTTTTCGCTGCTTTTCTTTTCTAGTGTTTTAGTCAGAGACTTCTTAAGTCTCTTCAAGTGTGTACACATTTCTTAAATTTGTTGGAAAGTACCAAATTTAAGATATCTTGCTTTTTTTCTTCCTTAGTAAACACTAAATTCCATCACGCAGCAGAAAAAGGGCTCTGTTATTGTCGGTACAATGGTTTAATATTCACTTTTATTCCCTATATCATAGTTCTGATTTAATTACTATTTAGAATAAAACTTGTTCCTTATTATATGCATTCATAATTATAAAATTTGTGTTTTAATGCCTTCTACAAATATACTGTGCTTTTCTTTATTTCCTTATATCTTTTACTGTTGCATGATCCTGGTATTTGAAATCTCATTAAGTGTTGTTTGGGGATTTGCTGGGAATGTCGTCTACATAGTAATGTCTCAAGTTTGTAGCATCTTTAAAACATAATAGGAGATGGAATTCACAGCAGAGTAATAAGCCTCCCACTTTAGGCAATATATTTGTGATTGACATGACTTTATTCCCAGAGGGCAGTTAGCAACACAATATTATGGCTATGTGTACAAGGAAAACAAATTTTAAAAATCTCCTTTAAAAAAAAACAGTTCCCAATCCTAACCAGTATCATGCACAGAATCCGTTTCCACCTCTTCATATGGAAGCAGCTCTGGGTGGACATCTAGAAAGTTGGATAACTATTTATCACATATGATCTGCAAAGGGAGAGATTTACAAGAAAGTATTAAATTTGATCCATAGGAAAGCAAAATCAAAAATCAATGAATTTTCCATTTGTAGTTTTCCCTAAGGGCTCTACTCTCAAGATGGCTTAAATGCATTAGAATTCAATGACTAGGCACAATTGTTTGTTAGTGACATAAAAGCAAGGTAAGCATTTCTGCTTTATGAGTCCAAGCACAGGGACACTTGGTTTTCTTTGGAAGGATATCATAAAGGCAATGTTTATGAGTAATCCCTCATTGTCTTTTCTTCTGTAGCATTCAATGCTATGTACTAAAATTTAGAAATGAAAACTACTTAAAGACCACCTGCTAAGTTTCATGCATTTCAAATTCTCAGATCCTGAGTGTTTAAATATGTCTGTATTTCTTCATGAAAAAAACATAATCTTTGCCAAGTTAGAAAAAGAAAAACTCATATTCCCATTTTTAACTAAAGGTAATCAGAAATTTGGACAGTTTTTAGCCTTCAATACATTATGTAATTTGGGTAACAGGCTGAATAAAAGTAAGGAACTTCAGTTAAATTCAGAGAGAAGCTAGTAATTATTTCTAAGACTCAAATGTATAGAACAGATCTCTGATATTAAGGATAAGACCCTCAAAGGTGACCCAAAGTGGGTAATTGTGGGATTATTTTAGGAGGAATCATCATATATTCTTACTGCTATAAATACAGTCAAATGTCAGATAAATATACTCCACTGAAATGTTTTCTAGGAATGATGTTGGAACCAATGTTGGTAATTTTGAAAGTCATGGAGAGGATTTCAGATGATAGAAGTCGGGCAAATATCCCAGGTTTAATAAATAAGCAAATGCTGAGTTCCAAAGCTGCTGTATCAATGAGCCTCATATTGATCCTGAGCACAATTTCAGAAAGGTCCATTAAATGGGTCTTTGGAGAGCACTTAGGATAAAAGGCTGGCAGCAGAGATTCACTAAGAACAATGGTGCCAAGCTTGCCTCTTTGACATTGTTATCTGACTGATAAAGGTAGTCTATAGCGGTACACAATACAGATATTTCCAGGGTAAAGCTGTTGAGCTGCTGTAATTTTCCTTGCCTCTTCACTATCTTCTCCTATAGTTGACTCCCAAGGAAAAGATAGTTGACTTTTAATCTAGAAATATATGTTAATTGGCAAAAACAAAAAAATGAAACCATAAAATATCCTTTAGGCTTCTCTCTGCTCAGTTATTAGATCATATGAATGTGCCCTTAGGAAACACAGAAGGCCCACACTATTATAGAGACAAATTTCTTACATTTTCTGCTGTTTAATGCTCTTCAAAAGACTTACCATACTTCACTAATTTGATTACCAACTACTTGAACACAGGGACCAATGTGCTTATTAAAAATTTTGCATATTATGAGGGCATTAACTTTTAAGTATTCAATTGTTAAGACAATGCATATTATTATAAACCATAGAAGGCACACTTATTACCTCCTTAAGATCCAGTCTCTATTTCTCTGGTTCATAGATCTCCAAGGTTATAGAGGGATTGGACATTTGTGTCTTCAATTGGCCCTCTTCAGCCCTAGGATAAATAGTGATTAATCTAAGCCAATGGTTTTCGGCTCTGTCTGACCCAATGCCTCTACTTCATAAGAAATTCTTTAAAGACCCCTTCGCTATTCTAAACTATTAGTGAGAACACAATGTATGCATTCAAGTTGTTGAAAATATTAATGTTATGCTGAAGCTAACAAAGGAGAAATAATTTACTGTCAATATATAATCCAAAATGTATATAATTGTGCCAGAACATTTACATCTCAAATACAATAGAACATAATGAAATTTTCATATCTTCGCCCATACCTTGAAACATTGTAAATAAAAAGCTACAAATATAGTTTCATTGAATAACCAAATGCCAAAACTGCCATTTCTATTGTTGACATGATTGATCTGCATTGGCAAATGTAATAGATACTTTCTGTTTGGCCCTTGTCCCCTGTTATACTCCCCTATTTACTGGCTTTTGTCCAAGTGGAATGGTCCATATTGAATATCTCCATCGGTTCCCTTGCTCATTGCCTTCTATGCATGTTCATGAGATTAAAGGGAAGGAGGAAATGGGATTGGGGGTTATTGCCTAAACTCCCTCTCTGCTAGGTCTCCTTGACCAATCTTTTTCATAAGAAAATTAGTGTTTCCTTCTGTGATCAGGGCAGTTTACTCCCCAGAACTCTGCCTGCCACTGCTAACCCAGAGTTATTGTGGCGTGTGATTTCTGTGATTCCTTCACCCTTCTCCCCTGACATTTTCGTAAGTAGTCTCTTTGGAAATAAACCCATGTTAAATTATCTTAGTTTGTGTGTGTTCTATTTTTCCTATTGAGACTCTGAAATGAGTATCTAAATGAAAAAATCTACCATCTTTTCTCATATACATAGTAGTTTCATTCTTGCAAAATTCATGGCATATTAAAACCATGCAAAAGTACTTGGCACTTAGGCAGTTACATTTGGGATTGTATAATTAAACAAAGCAGGTTATTCACCTTCATTACATTAGAAAGTCATTCAGGACATACAGCAATCCTTAATTAGGAGCGGCTATCCCATGTTACTGGACATATGGCATCCCTGTTTTCCAATCCTTAAAGTTTTTCCTTAAAGTATCAAAATGCCGTCACTTATTATTTCCTGCCATTGAATTTTGTCACATGAAGTTGTAAGGCTGGGAATGCCATAGCCATCTTGAAAACATAGGTAGAAAGATAAGAGAATCACAAAGAAGTGGATCATGTTGAATTAACTAAGCATTGATACCATCTATTTGTTGTGTGATTTGGTCAAAGTTGCTCCTTGTTTTTTTCTTCAATTAGTTGACTATTCTGTTACTTGAAGCTAAAAACATTTTTTTCTTTTCTTTCTTTCTTTTTTATTTTTGACAGAACCTTACTCAGTTGCCCAGGCTGGAGTGCAGTGGCATGATCTTGGCTCACTGCAACCTCTGCTTGCCTAGTTCAAGCAATTCTCACACCTCAGCCTCCCTAGTAGCTGGGATTACAGGCACATGCCACCACACTCAGATAATTTTTGTATTTTTAGTAGAGATGGGGTTTCACCCTGTTTGCCAGGCTGGTCTCAAACTCCTGACCTCAAGTGATCTGCCCACCTCAGCCTACCAAAGTGCTGGGATTACAGGTGTAAGCCACTGACCCTGCCCAAAAACATTTTAACCAATAGCAAAGCACATTATTTCATTACATTTTTTCAAAAGTTGCCAGTAATTTCAATTAAAAATATTATATAACATGTTTAATGCAATACAAATGCTTTTCAATGTACAATGGGGTTAAGTCTTGATAAGCTGATTATAAATTGAAAATACAGTAAGTTAAAAATGTATTTAATACTTAACTTACTGAATATCACAGCTTAGCCTGGCATACCTTTAATGTGCTCAGAACACTTACATCAGCTGACAATTGGGCAAAATCATTGAATACAAAACCCGCTTTATAATAAAGTATTGGATATTTTATGTAATTTGTTGAATATTGTACTGAAAGTGAAAAGCAGAATGGTTATATTCTATTCAAAGCTATCAATTTTGCTTCATCATAAAGTAAAAAAATCATAAATTGAACCATTATCAGTTGTTGACCATCTGTGTATATGTATGTGTGTGTGTACCTATATAAACATGTATGTTTATATATATATTTGTGTGTGTATATAACCTCGGTGTGTGTGTATGTGTGTTTGAGAGAGTGTGTCTGTGTGTGTGTGTGTATGAAATTGTAGGGAAGTAAAATTTCTTATCTTATAGATATAGCATGTTAACATGTTGGTACCTATCCTCCTGAGATGTAAAATTTTACATGGATAGATGTGTACATTTACAGTTGTACACAAAGAGAAACATATTCTGTAGGCTCTTTGTTTTTCTGCAGTTTCATTCAACACTATCTGGTTTATATGGGTGATTACATATATAATGCTAGGATTAAGGTTCTTCTCTATAACTTTGAAACTTCCTTGATTATCAACCCTTGGTATATTCTTAGAATAGGATTTTATTTTAGAATTAAGATCCTTGTTTCAGGACTCTAGACTGTTAACACACAGAGCCAATAATTATTCAGAATGGTTGGGTTAGTTCACATTCCCACAGAGGAGACATCAAATGTCCAGGCTGCACAGCCTCATTAACACTAGATTTTCTGGACATTTTATATAGTATTTCATCTGATATAAAAAGTAGAATTCTAATTTGGTTAAGGTTGTTAATTTATTTTTACATTTTTAGTCATTATGAAAATGTGTTACTATATGAAAAGCCAGGAAAGGGTTTTTTTTTTTTAAGGTAGTACTTCAGAAATATTTATGATACTTAATTTTTAAAAATTAACTCTAAAAGAATCTTGAAATGTCTGTTTAATAAAATAGGACATAAATACTGGTCACATTAGTGAAAAATATTTGTTTAAAATTAAAATATCTGCAGCAATCCTGTAGATATTAATAAGTTTTTAAAGAATGACATCTTCAAAATATAACTGTTCTAAACTAATATGTCTCCATTAATACATATAGATACATATATCTAAATAAATTTGAAGACTTCAAATTCAAGGTACAATATAATTTTTTTCTATCCTTTGATTTGTCATTCAGGATTTTGTAATTTGAACAGAAATATTTTGCCCTAACCACAGGTCTGTCTTTTCTCTTACTAAAAATATTATTTTATGTAAAATTGTTTTAAAGGTCAGTTTGCAAGTTTGAAAAGCATCTTGTACAATGTTACATAATATATTGCATATTTGGTTACATTGTTTTAACTGTGTAAATATGGTTTAAATCTGTGATGCTCTTTAGTGATGATCATGATGCAAATCAAATTTGTCTGTATAAAAGGCTCCTGTTAATTTTTTTTATTATACTTTAAGTTTTAGGGTACATGTGCACAACGTGCAGGTTTGCTACATATGTACACATGTGCCATGTTGGTGTGCTGCACCCATTAACTCCTCATTTAACATTAGGTATATCTCCTAATGCTATCCCTACCCCCTCCACCCACCCCACAACAGTCCCCGGTGTGTGATGTTCCCCTTCCTGTATCCATGTTTCCTCATTGTTCAATTCCCACCTATGAGTGAGAACATGTGGTGTTTGGTTTTTTCCCTTGCAATAGTTTGCTGAGAATGATGGTTTCCAGCTTCATCCATGTCCCTACAAAGGACATGAACTCATCATTTTTTATGGCTGCATGGTATTCCGTGGTGTATATGTGCCACATTTTCTTAATCCAGTCTATCATTGTTGGACATTTGGGTTGGTTCCAAGTCTTTGCTATTGTGAATAGTGCCACAATAAACATACGTGTGCATGTGTCTTTAGAGCAGCATGATTTATAATCTTTTGGGTATATACCCAGTAATGGGATGGCTGGGTCAAATGGTATTTCTAGTTCTAGATCCCTGAGGAATCACCACACTGACTTCCACAATGGTTGAACTAGTTTACAGTCCCATCAACAGTATAAAAGTGTTCCTATTTCTCCACATCCTCTCCAGCACCTGTTGTTTCCTGACTTTTTTATGATCGCCATTCTAACTGGTGTGAGATGGTATCTCATTGTGGTTTTGATTTGCATTTCTCTGATGGCCAGTGATGATGAGCATTTTTTCATGTGTCTTTTGGCTGCATAAATGTCTTCTTTTGAGAATTGTCTGTTCATTTCCTTTGCCCACATTTTGATGGGGTTGTTTGTTTTCTTCTTGTGAATTTGTTTGAGTTCATTGTAGATTCTGGATATTAGCCCTTTGTCAGATGAGTAGGTTGCAAAACTTTTCTCCCATACTGTAGGATGTCTATTCACTCTGATGGTAGTTTCTTTTGCTGTGCAGAAGCTCCTTAGTTTAATTAGATCCCATTTGTCAATTTTGTCTTTTGTTGCCATTGCTTTTGGTGTTTTAGACATGGAGTCCTTACCCATGCCTATGTCCTGAATGGTATTGCCTAGGTTTTCTTCTAGGGTTTTTATGGTTTTAGGTCTGACATGTAAGTCTTTAATCCATCTTGAATTAATTTTTGTATAAGGTGTAAGGAAGGGATCCAGTTTCAGCTTTCTACATATGGCTAGCCAGTTTTCCCAGCACCATTTATTAAATAGGGAATCCTTTCCCTATTTCTTGTTTTTGTCAGGTTTGTCAAAGATCAGATAGTTGTAGATATGCGGCATTATTTCTGAGGGCTCTGTCCTGTTCCATTGGTCTATATCTCTGTTTTGGTACTAGTACCATGCTGTTTTGGTTACTGTAGCCTTGTAGTATAGTTTGAAGTCAGGTAGCATGATGCCTCCAGCTTTGTTCTTTTGCCTTAGGATTGACTTGGCAATGCAGGCTCTTTTTTGGTTCCATATGAACTTTAAAGTAATTTTTTTCCAATTCTGTGAAGAAAGTCTTTGGTAGTTTGATGGAGATGGCATTGAATCTTTAAATTACCTTGGGCAGTATGGCCATTTTCACGACATTGATTCTTCCTACCCATGAGCATGGAATGTTCTTCCATTTGTTTGTATCCTTTTTTATTTCATTGAGCAGTGATTTGCAGTTCTCCTTGAAGAGGTCCTTCACATCCCTTGTAAGTGGTATTCCTAGGTATTTTATTCTCTTTGAAGCAATTGTTAATGGGAGTTAACTCATGATTTGGCTCTCTGTTTGTCTGTTATTGGGGTATAAGAATGCTTGTGATTTTTGCACATTGATTTTGTATCCTGAGACTTTGCTGAAGTTGCTTATCAGCTTAACGAGATTTTGGGCTGAGACGATGGAGTTTTCCACATTCACAATCATGTCATCTGCAAACAGGGACAATTTGACTTCCTCTTTTCCTAATTGAATGCCCTTTATTTCCTTCTCCTTCCTGATTGCCCTGGCCAGAACTTCCAATACTATGTTGAATAGGAGTGGTGAGAGAGGGCATCCCTGTTTTGTGCCAGTTTTCAAAGGGAATGCTTCCAGTTTTTGTCCATTCAATATGATATTGGCTGTGGGTTTGTCATAGATAGCTCTTATTATTTTGAGATACGTCCTATCAATCCCTAATTTATTGAGAGGTTTTAGCATGAAGATTTGCTGAATTTTGTCAAAGGACTTTTCTGCATCTATTGAGATAATCATGTGGTTTTTGTCTTTGGTCCTGTTTATATGCTGGATTACGTTTACTGATTTTCATATGATGAACCAGCCTTTCATCCCAGGGATGAAATCCACTTGATCATGGTGGATAAGCTTTTTTATGTGTTGTAGGATTCTGTTTGCCAGTATTTTATTGAGGATTTTTGCATCACTGTTCATCAAGAATATTGGTCTAAAATTCTCTTTTTTTGTTTTGTCTCTGCCAGGCTTTGGTATCAGGATGATGCTGGCCTCATAAAATGAGTTAGGGAGGATTCCCTCTTTTTCTATTGATTGGAATAGTTTCAGAAGGAATGGTACCAGCTCCTCCTTGTGCCACTGGTAGAATTTGGCTGTGAATCCATCTGGTCCTGGACTTTTTTTGGTTGGTAAGCTATTAATTATTGCCTCAATTTCAGAGCCTGTTATTGGTCTATTCAGGGATTCAACTTCTTCCTGGTTTAGTCTTGGGAGAGTATACGTGTCGAGGAATTTATCCATTTCTTCTAGATTTTCTAGTTTATTTGTGTAGAGATGTTTATAGTATTCTCTGATGGTAGTGTGTATTTCTGTGGGATCGGTGGTGATATCCCCTTTGTCAATTTTTATTGCATCTCTTTGATTCTTCTCTCTTTTCTTCTTTATTAGTCTTGCTAGTGGTCTATCAATTTTGTTGATCTTTTCAAAAAACCAGCTCCTGGATTCATTGATTTTTTGAAGGGTTTTTTGTGTCTCTATTTCCTTCAGTTCTGCTCTGATCTAAATTACTTCTTGCCTTCTGTTATCTTTTGAATGTGTTTGCTCTTGCTTCTCTAGTTCTTTTAATTGTGATGTTAGGATGTCAATTTTAGTTCTTTCATGCTTTCTCTTGTGGGCATTTAGTGCTGTAAATTTCCCTCCACACACTGCTTTGAATGTGTCCCAGAGATACTGGTATGTTGTGTCTTTGTTCTTGTTGGTTTCAAATAACATCTTTATTTCTGCCTTCATTTCGTTATGTACCCAGTAGTCATTCAGGAGCAGGTTGTTCAGTTTCCATGTAGTTGAGTGGTCTTGAGTGAGTTTTTAAATCCTGAGTTGTAGTTTGATTGCACTGTGTTCTGAGAGACAGTTTGTTATACTTTCTGTTCTTTTACATTTGCTAAGGAGTGCTTTACTTCCAACTATGTGCTCAATTTTGGAATAGGTGTGGTGTGGTGCTGAAAAGAATACATATTCTGTTGATTTGGGGTACAGAGTTCTGTAGATGTCTATTAGGTCTGCTTAGTGCAGAGCTGAGTTCAATTCCTGTATATCCTTGTTAACTTTCTGTCTCGTTGATCTGTCTAATGTTGACAGTGGGGTGTTAAAGTCTCCCATTATTATTGTGTGGGAGTCTAAGTCACTTTGTAGGTCACTAAGGACTTGCTTTATGAATCTGGGTGCTTCTGTATTGTGTGCATATATATTTAGGATAGTTAGTTCTTGTTGAATTGATCCCTTTACCATTATGTAATGGCCTTCTTTGTCTCTTTTGATCTTTGTTGGTTTAAAGTCTGTTTTATCCGAGACTAGGATTGCAACCCCTGCCTTTTTTTGTTTTCCATTTGCTTGGTAGATCTTCCTCCATCCCTTTATTTTGAGCCTATTTGTGTCTCTGCACGTGAGATGGGTTTCCTGGATACAGCACACTGATGGGTCCTGACTCTTTATCCAATTTGCCAGTCTGCACCTTTTAATTGGAGCATTTAACCCATTTACATTTAAGGTTAGTATTGTTATGTGTGAATTTGATCCTGTCATTATGATGTTAGCTGGTTATTTTCCTCGTTAGTTTATGCAGTTTCTTCCTAGCCTTGATGGTCTTTACAATTTGGCGTGGTTTTACAGTGGCTTGTACCAGTTGCTCCTTTCCATGTTTAGTGCTTCCTTCAGGAGATCTTTTAGGGCAGGCCTGGTGGTGACAAAATCTCTCAGCATTTGCTTGTCTGTGGAGCATATTATTTCTCCCTCACTTATGAAGGTTAGTTTGGCTGGATATGAAATTCAGGGTTGAAAATTCTTTCCTTTAAGAATGTTGAATATTGGCCCCTACTCTCTTCTGGCTTGTAGAGTTTCTGCAGAGAGATCAGCAGTTAGTCTGATGGGCTTCCTTTTGTGGGTAACCCGACCTTTCTCTCTGGCTGCCTTTAAAATTTTTTCTTTCATTTCAACTTTGGTGAATCTGACAATTATGTGTCTTGGAATTGTTCTTCTCAAGGAGTATCTTTGTAGCATTCTCTGTATTTCCTGAATGTGAATGTTGGCCTGCCTTGCTAGATTGGGGAAGTTCTCCTGGATAATATACTGCAGAGTGTTTTCCAACTTGGTTCCATTCTCCCTGTCACTTTCAGGTAAACCAAATAGACGTAGATTTGGTCTATTGACATAGTCCCATATTTCTTGGAGGCTTTGTTCATTTCTTTTTATTCTTTTTTCTCTAAACTTCTCTTCATGCTTCATTTCATTCATTTCATCTTCCATCACTGATACCCTTTCTTCCCGTTGATCACATCGGTTACTGAGGCTTATGCATTTGTCATGTAGTTTTCATGCCATGGTTTTCAGCTCCGTCAGGTCCTTTAAGGACTTCTCCACATTGGTTATTCTAGTTATCTGTTCGTCTAATTTTTTTTCCAAGTTTTTAACTTCTTTGCCATTGGTTCGAACTTCCTCCTTTAGCTCGGAGTACTTTGATCTTCTGAAGTCTTCCTCTCTCAACTCGTCAAAGTCATTCTCCGTCCAGCTTTGTTCCATTGCTGGTGAGGAGTTGCATTCCTTTGGAGGAGGATAGGCACTCTGATTTTTAGAGTTTCCTGTTTTTCTGCTCTGTTTTTCCCCATCTTTGTGGTTTTATCTACCTTTGGTCCTTGATGATGGTGACATACAGATGGGGTTTTGGTGTGGATGTCCTTTCTGTTTGTTAGTTTTCCTTCTAACAGTCAGGACCCTCAGCTGCAGGTCTGTTGGAGTTTACTGGAGGTCTCCTCCAGACACTATTTGCCTGGGGGGTATCAGCAGTCGTGGCTGCAGAACAGTGGATATTGGTGAACTGCAAATGCTGCTGCCTGATCGTTCCTCTGGAAGTTTTGTCTCAGAGGGGTACCCGGCCATGTGAGGTGTCAGTCTGCCCCTACTGGGGGGTGCCTCCCTGTTAGGCTACTCGGGGTTCAGGGACCCACTAGGTGGGGGTTGTCTGCCCGTTCTGAGATGTCAAGCTGCGTGCTGGGAGAACCACTACTCTCTTCAAAGCTGTCAGACAGGGACATTTAAGTCTGCAGAGGTTATTGCTGTCTTTTGTTGGTCTGTGCCCTGCCCCCAGAGGTGGAGCCTACAGAGGCAGGCTGGCCTCCTTGAGCTGTGGTGGGCCACCCAGTTCGAACTTCCTGGCTGCTTTGTTTACTTACTCAAGCCTGAGCAATGGCGGGCGCCCCTCCCCCAGCCTCACTGTTACCTTGCAGTTTGATCTCAGACTGCTGTGCTAGCAAACAGCGAGGCTCTGGGGGTGTAGGACCCTCCAAGCCAGGTGCTGGATATAATCTCCTGGTGTGCCATTTGATAAGCCTGTTGGAAAAGCGCAGTATTAGGGTGGGAGTGACCTGATTTTCCAGGTGCCATCTGTCACCCCTTCATTTGACTAGGAAAGGGAATTCCCTGACCCCTAGTGCTTCCCAGGTGAGGTGATGCCTTGCCCTGCTTTGGCTCATGCATGGTGCGCTGCAACCACTGTCCAGCACTCCCCAGTGAGATGAACCTGGTACCTCAGTTGGAAATGCAGAAATCACCCGTCTTCTGCATCACTCACGCTGGGAGCTGTAGACTGGGGCTGTTCCTATTCGGCCATCTTGGCTCCACCCTCTAATTTTTAACTTTCAAAAGATTAGATACATTTACCCTCCTCTGAATTTTAATTCCTGATGGAAAGATTGTGAAATCTCAAGAGGATAATGAATCAGCTTCTGATTATATTCTGGAATTGCTATTTGATCACACATCCAAGAATGCGTATTCACTTTCCTTTACATTACACACATGCATAATACCATGCTGAGTGATGCTGGAAAAAGTGAGTCTTCAGTAATGCCCTCATGAAATTACAGTCTCACTACACTGAGGTATTTTCTTTTTAACCCTTTCTTTCTTTTCTGCTGTGAATATGTGCCTTCTAAGAGGTGAACAACGGGAAAAACTGAAAAAGATCCTTCATCTAATTCAGTAACTAGTTTTTGTATCTTCTAAAAATTTTTATCTCCAGAAAGCTCTAATTTTCATTCCTTTACAAGCTTTATTTCTCTCTCCTTTCCAACACCAGACTTTGCTCTGTTTGTTTTCTATATCTTTTTTAGAGATGCCTACAATAGAAAAAATCTATGACATATTCAATACATCTGAAAAGTTTACATTGCCATAGATAAGAATGAATTATCTGTTTATAAAGAAAAAACAATAAAAATATGAACCAAGAAAGCACAGAAGGTAGTAACCACATTTAGATGTTTATCATGGAATCATCTTTATAATCCATCTGTTACAATTCCACACAGCAAATTACAAGTAATTGTGAAGTTTCCCCTCATTTTATAGGTTTGGTCTTATAAGGCATACAACACAAATTTTAATTACTTTTCTTTTTGGTATTTGGATCTTAATTTGGTCAAGTGGCCACTGGGTAGATGATGGAGCCTCTTGAGACATACAGTCTTCTTCTAGCTTTGTTGATGTGAATATTACTGTGTATTTTTCATTCACTTATTATTTTACAAGGCATGCTTCATTAAAAATATATCAGCATCTCATTGACAAATCACAAAATTTAAAAGGCACCAGAAAAAAACAATTTATTTAAAACATTCCTGTGTAAAAGTAGTCACCACTCTTACTATTCTTCAAATATTTTTATTATATTTAAAAACAAGCCTAGTTTTATCTCGAGTGTCTGACCTTGATGATATTGTACATTTTAAACTTAGAAAAATTGAACTCTATTGGAAATTTCCTACAGATCAGCTTTTCTAGATGCCAAGCGCCTTGTTTCAGCCATGGTGATGACAGCAAATTGGGTTCTCAGGGATTCTGGCCTCTGGCATCATCTCAGTTATTTATAATTGAAGTTGGGTCTGATGAGAACGCAGCTTAGATGCATGGTGGGACTGCTGGGCTTAAGGCTGGCCTGCCAGGAGGTTGCATTGAGGTGTAACTAGGCAAAGAAAGAAGGAGTTTATTGAGACATTACTGACAATAGCAAAGACTTGGAACCAACCCAAATATCCAACAATGATAGACTGGATTAAGAAAATGTGGCACATATACACCATGGAATACTATGCAGCCATAAAAATGATGAGTTCATGTCCTTTGTAGGGACATGGATGAAGCTGGAAACCATCATTCTCAGCAAACTATCACAAGGACAAAAAAACAAACACCACATGTTCTCACTCATAGGTGGGAATTAAACAATGAGAACACATGGACACAGGAAGAGGAACAGCACACACTGGGGCCTGTTGTGGGGTGAAGGGCTAGGGGAGGGAAAGCATTAGGATATATACCTAATGTAAATGACGAGTTAATGGGTGCAGCACACCAACATGTCACATGTATACATATGAAACGAACCTGCACGTTGTGCACATGTGCCCTAGAACTTAAAGTATAACACAAAAAAGAAGGGGTTGGGCAAAATTACCAACAATCTTCAACTATGAATTTGTATGAGTAGGGGCTTCCCACACCATCAGGCACTCCAAGTTGGAGAAACAAGGGATGTTGAATTGAAAGTTTAATTTTTTAGGCTTGATAGTCAGATTAGGGAAGTTTTGGGTACATCTTTCCCACTCTAGAGCCCTCTCCCTAACTCAGGGCCAATTTGGGACATGGGCTCAATGGAAAAGAGTGCCTAGATCAATTAGAAATATCCATCATGAACATAGGAGGCAGGCATTCTGGCCAAGGGGGTGCATCTTCCCACTTTGTAATCCAGAGAGCGATTTCTTCTTGCTATCTGTCCCTCCATAAATAAGCGTTGGGTGAAGGACAAGCTAGTTACCATTGAGGATGGAATGAAATTCTACCAGAATTGCAAAATGAACTGAGAGCCACGAAAGTGTTCCTCTGTGAACCAGCAGAGAGATCTGTGGAAGGCAAAGGAAGAGGAGCCAAGAGGCCAGATAACATTCCTGCTTCCCCTACATTGTGAGAGTGAAATTGTCAGCAACCTATATCAGTAATTAACCAGAGGCTTTTTGGAGAGTAAGACTTCTGATAGATACCTCAATAGCTGAAGTTGCTCTTCAGTACTGCACATAACCTGTGGACAGATTTTCATCGTTATTAATTCATTTATTCAACAGATAGATATTAAATTCAAGGCATAGTTCTAAACTATGCAGTCAATTACAAAAAAATAATAATGAAGGACATTAGCTCTGCCTCATAGGACGTTAAAACTCTAGCTGCTAAATGAGACAAATAGGGTTCCCACATCAAGTGCCTGGGCTCCTGTTATAACCTGGACTCTGCTTCCATTGGCTTCTCTTGTTTCTGTTTTGATAAACCCATCATTTGGCTTAGTCCCTACCCTTTCCATGCTCACCCACCAGTAGGTGGACCTCCTTGACCATAACTACAGACATAGATCTTTGATTGTTTCTTTTCAAATGTTTGCTTACTTTAGAGGTGCAGTCAAATGTTGTTTGGACCATAAGACTCTGAGGCTGTGTGTGGTTGAAACTGTCTTGAGACTCAAAGAGCTATTGAGGAAGGGATTTGATAGCTGAACTCTTTTGAAGATTTTCTCTGTCTCTCACACATCTGGGGCTGAATAGCTTAACGTTTAATTTCTACATCGACGATAGTTTAATAGCCATTCATGCAAATCAGTTCTGCTGTGAGTTATTATCCTACTCCAATACCAAGTAACACATTCCTTAAATTTAGTGTATGTATAAATTCTACATGGTAAGTGAAGCTGTCTTTATGAATTGCTGCTATAGAATATACTAGATTGTGTAGGTTTTAGTACAATCCAGGTAATTATCAAGCCTTTGTAATATTTTCAGGAAAGTGATCCTTTCACTTCAGTTTATGGAACTTGAAAATTTTTTAGTTGCCACCGACTAGTTAGATCATAAACTTAATTCTATGTATCTGAATTTATTTTTCTATTTATAAATTTATCTGGATGCTTTCTCAAAGGTTTCTCAGTTTAAAAACCTATGGCTTTGTAAAATTAAAACAGAAGTAATAGGAATTGTGTTAAAAAACAGAATCAGGCCAAGCCTGGTGGCTTATGCCTCTAATGCCAACACTTAGGGAGGCCAAGGCGGGAGGATAATTTGAGGTCAGGAGTTCAAGACCAGCCTGGACAACATGGCAAAACCCCACATGTATTAAAAAAATACACAAATTAGCTGGGCGTGGTGGTGAATGCCTTTAGTCCTAGCTACTCAGGAGGCTAAGGCAGGAGAATAGCTTGAACCTGGGAGGCTGAGGTTGCAGTGAGCCAAGATAGAGCCACTGCATTCCAGCCTGGGTGACAGAGTGAGATCCTGTCTTAAAAAAAAGGAAAAAAGAAAAAGAAAAAAACAGAATCATACAATGAGAGAGATTGTATAGCCCTTTTAATTGTCCATAATGGATACATTTCTTTTTCTGTGTAATAGTTTATCAGCATGAAAATTTTCTTTTTCTGTGTAATAGTTTATCAGCATGAAAAAAAAGAGTCACTGAACACTGATAATTTTCTTTCTCTCTCTCTCTTTTTTCCTTTTTTTGGAGATGAAGTCTCGCTCTGTTGCCCAGGCTGGAGTGCAATGGCAACATCTCTGTTCACTGCAACCTTCACATCCTGGGTTCAGGCGATTTTCCTGCCTCAGCCTCCCAAGTAGCTGGGATTCCAGGTGCACCCCGTCATGCCTGGATAAATTTTTGTATTTTCAGTAGAGACGGGGTTTCATCATGTTGGCCAGGCTGGTCTCAAACTCCTGACCTCAAATAATCTGCCCGCCTTAGCCTCCCAAATTACTGGTGATGATTTTCATTTAATGGTGTTCTACAAAGTGAGTTTAGGCAGTGAAAGGGCACAAGTCACCTATAGTTTACCAGAAAGTAGTATCAGTCACCAGCGTTGAAGCATACTCCTAACCCTGGAAAATTTCTTCAGCAGCCAGAATTAATCTCAGATTTTGAGACTGGAGCAAAGACTAATTTGGTATGTGTTCATTCAGATTAGTAAATCTCCATGGTGTTCGAACTGTATAATATCAAATCTAAAATAAGTCAAGAGAGTTGGACAATATCTCATCTCTGAGAAAAAAATGCATTATTTTCAAGAGATTTAAGACTGAATTTAAAATCCAACTGCCTATTCCAGTGTATGTTTCTCTAGAATAAGGCCAAGCCCTACAAATTCTGGATAGTGTCCTCCAAGTTGTGTTTAAGTGATAATTGATAAATCTATGGTTTAGATACATATGGAATTC